>NC_000002.12:18570361-18721876 GCF_000001405.40 Homo sapiens
AAAGAAAAGACACAAATTACTAGTATCAGAAATAAAAGTGGGGACACATCACTAAGGATCCTACAAATGTTAAAAACATATTAATAAAACACTCTAAGAGTTTATGTCCATAAATTCAGTTATTTAAATGAACAAATTCCTTGAAAAATGCAAGCTCATAAACAGAAGAAAAGAATGAGAAAAGGAAGAAAAAGAAAAATGGAAGTTCTATAGCTATCAAAATAATTGAATCAGTAGTTAAAAGCCTTCCAACAAAGAAAAAAGTCCAGACTCAGATGGCGTCTCTGAAAAATTCTACCAAACATTTTAAATAGTTTGTATCACATTTTATGAGGTTAGTACTACCCTGTTACTAAAGTCAGATTAAGATATTACAAGAGAAGAAAACTGTAGAGGATGAACATGAATACATAAATGAATAAATAATACAAAATATTAACAAATTGGATTCAGCGATATATGAAAAGGATAATACCACATGACCAACTTGAATTAATACCAACAATGCAAAGCTGCCTCAGCTTTTACAAATCCATTAATGTAATTTACATAACAACAGACTAAAGGGGAGAAACCACATGTTTTTTCTCAATAGATGCAAATCAGGCATTAGTCAAAATTCAACCTTCATTTATTATAAAAACTCCCAAACAGCTAGAAAGAGAAGGTAGCTCCCTCAACCTGACAAAAGGCATCTAGAAAAGATCAATGGATAACAGTTAAGAGTGAAAGATTGATGTCCCTCTAAGATCTGGGTATATGGCAAGGGTGTCCACCCTCATCACTGTTCTGAACATTGTACTGGATGTACTAGCAAGGTAAAAAGGCAAGAATGATAAATAACAGATATACAGCATGGAAACACAGAAATAAAACTGTCTTTAGTCACAGTCAACATTATTGTTGACTTAGAAAATCTCAATCTACAAAATTGTTGCGAGAACTAACAAGGAAATTGAACAAGGTTGCAGAATACAAAAACCAATTGTGATTCTATGTATTAGCAATAAATAATCGGACAGTAAGGATTTTTAAAGTACCATTTATGATAGTACCAAAATATTACAAAATGCATAGGTATAAATAAAAAAATGTAATATCTGTGTGCTAAAACCTACAAAAGACTAAAAAAAAAATTTAAATGATCTAAATAAATGAGGAGAGGAGAAATACCATGTCCATGGACAGAAAGACTTAATATTGTTAAGATATCTATTATCCCAAGATCTAGCTATAAATAAAATAAAAATAAAAAATTCTTGTAAAAATTTTTCCCCCAGAAATAAACTTCTTAAATCTATATGAAAGTGCAAGGGAATCAGACTGTACTCTCTCTCTCTTTCTCTCTGTGTGTGTGTATATATATATATATATATATATATATATATATATATATATATATATGTTAATTTTAACAAAGTTGAAGTATTCACACCACCTGGGCCTAAGAAATACTATAGCCAGGTGCAGTGGCTCATGCCTGTAATCCCAGCACTTTGGGAGGCTGAGGCGGGTCAGGAGTTTGAGACCAGCCTGGCCAATATGGTATTTTACTCTCTACTAAAAATACAAAAATTAACTGGGTGTGGTGGTGGGTGCCTATAGTCACAGCTACTCGGGCAGCTGAGGCAGGAGAATCTCTTGAACCCGGGAGGCGAAGGTTGCAGTGAGCCGAGATCATGCCATTGCATTCCAGACTGGGCGACAGAGCGAGACTCTGTCAAAAAAAAAAAAAAAAAAAAGAACTACTATAAAACTACAATAATCAAGACAATGTAATATTGATAAAGGGATGAATATCTGTATTAAAGGAACAAGGCAGAAAATCACCCTTTTCAACAAATAATGCTTGAACAATTAAGATATCCAGGAAATTAGGATAAGGAGGAAAAATGAACCACAACTTGTGCTTTGCACAAATACCATATTGACTCAAAATAGATGATAATCCTAAGTAAGAAACCTAAAACCATAAAATTTCTATATAAAAAGTCTGGAGATAATCCTTGTGGCCTTGGATTAGGCAAAGATTTCTTATATATGACATTAAAAGCACAATTTCTAAGAGAAAAAATTGATAAATCTGACTTCATCAAAATTATAAGTTTCTGCTCACTGAAAAGCACTGAAAGATGTTAGAATGAAAGACAAGCACAGGCTGAGAGAAGATATTTGTAAAACACACACCTGATAAAGGATGAGTATCCAAAACATATGAGGAACTCTCAGAAGTTGATAACAAACCAAAAACCCAATAAAATAAGGAAAATATTTGAACAGGTACTTCACCAAAGAAGATATGTGATGGAAAAAAGCACTGATAAGATGCTCAGTAACATTTGTCATTAAAGAAATGAAGCCAAAACTACAATGAGATAATTTTTTTATCAACACTAAAATTGCTTAAAGAAAGAAAGAAAAGAAAAATACTGAATACTACCAAAGGCCAGCAACAATGCAAAGCAACAAAACCATGCATTGCTTTTAGAAATGCAAAATGTTATGTCGTTTGGGAAAATAATTTTACTGTATCTCATCAAATAAAACATACACTATTTATCACATGACCTAGCAATTCCACTTCTAGGTATTTAAAAATGAAATGAAATCTTATATTTACACAGAAGTTTGTATTCAAATGTTTAAAAGTAGCTTCATTTATAAATGTCAAAGACTAGAAATGACCTACTCCTTCAACAGGTAAATGAATAAAGAAAATGTGGTACATCCACAGAATAGAATACTACTCAGCAATAAAAAGGAGCCAAGTACTGATACATGCAATGACATGCATTATGCTATGATAAATAAAAGAAGTCAGATTGCATCGTGTATGATTCCATTTATGTGACACCTGGAAAAGGCAAAACTATAGAAAAAGAAATCAGTGGTTGATGGGGTGTGGAGATAGGGTACTAGGATGACTACAAAGGGGCATGAGGGAATTTAGTGATTTAACGAAACTGTTGAGTATGTATTTTTATGTTAGTGGTTATTTCACAATTATATATATTTGTTAAAATGAAATTATCCACTTAAAATTATAAATTTTACTCTATATAAATATACCTCAAAAATTCTGATACACACACACACACACACAAACATACACACACACACTTAGAGACCATTATTCCAGAATGGTGAGACAAGAGATAGGGATCAAATCAGGAGATATCAGTTACTTGTCACTGTACTACATTGGAGATTGGAGGCTCATAAACTACATTCAGACTTGTTAAATTAATCCTCTCCAGCTGTCCCATTTGCTGGTGAGTTTCAGACCTCTTCCATTTGACAAAATTAAGATACTGTCATGACCAAACCAACACCCTACTAGCAACATACTTGAATGTCTTCAGTAGGAGTTGTACCTCATACATTCTTTCTCATCAGTGGAACACACCCAGCAAGGCCTTCTGGCCTTTATGGAAAATCATCTTTTTCATGTAAAAAAATGGCATGTTTTTTAAACTGGCAGAAGTACTGCATAATAAAGGAAAGCATGTATACTAGAAATGTGTTGAGTATTCCTGCAATAAGTAGGGTTGGGATTCACAATTTTAATTGTTTAATGGGAGAAAAAGGCAATTTAAGGAGCAAAATAAGTGAGAATACATAAAACTAGAAAGTTTCTGCAAAGCAAAGGAAACAACAGAGTGAAAAGGCACCCTATGGAATGGGAGAAAATATTTGCAAACTATACATCTGATAAGGGTTAATTTCCAAAATATGCAAGGAATTCTTACAACTCAACAGCAAAATAAAAACAAATTAAGCTGGTTAAAAATGGGCAAAGGACTTGAATAGACATTTCTCTAAAGAACACATACAAATGTCAATGGGTATATGAAAAGGTACTCAACACATTAATCATCAGAGAAATCCAAATAAAAACCACAATCCAATATCAAATTTTACCAGTCAAGATGGTTATTATAGAAGACAAAACAAAACAAAGATACCAAATGCTGGGGGAGTATGTAGAGAATGTGGAACCCTTATACACTGTGGGCAGAAATGTCAAATGGTATAGCCACTGTAGAAAACAGAATGGAAGTTTTTCCAAAAACTAAGAATAGAACAACTACCAAATGATTCAGTAATCCCACTGTTGAGTATATATCCAAAAGAAATGAAAGCAGGATCTGAAAGAGCTATGTAAACTGCAGCATTTACTACAGCATTATTCACAATGGCCAATATTTGGAAATAACCCAAATGTCCATCATCAGGGGAATGGATAGAGAAAATGTGGGATAAGACACAACATAATATTAGTCAGCCTTTAAAAAGAAGGAAATACTACCATTTGTAACAAAATGGATGAGACCTGGAAGATCTGCTAAGATGAATAAATTCTAGAGATCTGCTGTACAATGTAGCGCCTATAGTTAACAATATGGTATTGTACACTTAAAAACTTGTTAAGTGGATAGATCATATGCTAAGTATTCTTACCACAATACAAAAAAAATTTTAAAAGACAAGGAGAGTGCTGGATGTGTTTATTACCTTATTTGTAGTGACAGTATCATGAGTGTATGTATATGTCCAAATTCATCAAAATGTATACATTAAATATGTGCAACTTTTAAAAATTAAATATAACTCAATAAAGCTGAAAAAAAGAACAAAGTACAAAATGAGAAAAGAACTGAAAAATGTAAAATCTAAAAGAAATTTAGATTATTTACTTCAGATGGGAAAATACTACTTTAACATTTGTCTGGAAGTAATGCTTTCTTTGAAGTGTTTTTGTTTAAGTGTTCTTTTTATGGAGGATTTCCACATTTCAATAATGGTGAAAGGCTCTGAATTTCAGCAGAGTAGACTGATATAAAATATAACAAAGAATTTTCTTAATAGTAAGCTTTGTTAATACAGAACTTTATAACACTAGGTCAGGGTTTCCAAAGGAGCTATTTAGAAAGAGAATATGAAGTTGAACACACACTCCCATAGTTTAAATATTGCTTGCTTTAATGAGAGGTGACTAAGTAGAAAAACTTTTCAACTTTCAATTAGTCTATTCATACTTTTATGAATTTATATAAAAATAACAATATTTAAGTTTAACTTAAGTTCAGGAAGAACTGAGAAAAAGAACAATTAAATTTCTTGGGAAAATTGATAGAATAAAATTAAAAGACCTATCAGTTTAGATTCAGATTAAGTGACATTTTGATTTCAGATTTCCTTTTGTTCAAAAGTTATAGGTTCTGTTCATTTTCGACCTTGATTTTAACACTTCAGTTCATGGATGGATTGAAAGGTACTCAACAGCACTAATCCAAAACAATCTAAATATTTAGTTTCAGTTTGATTACATATTCATAATTTGCACTTGTTTGAGGATCATTATTTGATTCAAGTTCTTAGTTGTGCATATTTTCTCAATTAAGCGATGCCTTTCTTGAGTTTGAAGTCAAGGACAGAGATTCAACAAATGCTTACTCTAATCTATTGGAAATGACCCTACTATTTTGAGAATTTATTATGTAGAAATGGCTTATTGATAAGCAGTATTTCCTGTTACTCCCAATTGGGAGAGGGCAGACTTCTTATCATGGGAAGATCATGCAAGTATTTCCAAAAGGATAGATAAAATAATGTGAAAATTAAAAATAAAGTTGTCAGCAGTGAATGCATCAAAGTGAGCCATTCATGAAAGAAAGAGAGAAAGCTCCAAAGATAAGACAGTAAGAAGGAGTGCCCTGCCTAGAATAACTTAAACATTCATCAGAATGGACCAATATTGATATTTATATATTAGAAAATAAATAAGTACATAAAAATTAATTAGCACTCATTGAACCTACCTGAGCAAGAGGCTTACTTTCACATAATGTATCATACTGGAAGAATTTGTCGAGCCCATGCTCCTTGGTAAAATGTTCAGACTCATCAGAGAAGAGGACAGCATCCCCATCAAAGGCTACACGGAGCTGAGTGTCACAGTAAGCCATGTCTTTGGCTCCATCAAACATTGTCGCAGAGGCAATACCTGATAGATCATGGAGACTGATTAATACTCTTCTCAGGTCCATGAGTTATAGTTTCTACCATTAAAAAAAACAAATTCTCCCAGACCTTATGTTTTCTCTCTAGCTATTACCTGATGGCTCAACTCCTCTTCACAACCACAGACCTCAGAACAGTTGTCTATGCACTGCCTCTGTTTCTATAGGGATGGAACATGTGAAATGGATTGTAGGACAATTACTGAGGATGTCCATTTCCAGGAAAGTCAAAGCTCTAAAGGACAGACTTAAGTGTTGCCCCATGTGGAAAAACTTCAGAAGAATATCCAACAAGACCATAAGCCTCATAATCATATGCGAAACTTAATGTAAGTCACCATTAGTGTAAACCTCTTTATTAACTAGAGGAATAAAATCAGACTAATACCTTCTTGTATTGCCTCTTGCACTTTTTCAGAATCTGCAGCAATATACAAGTTGGTAAGATATGCCTTCAAATAGCCAATGGGGTCTTTTCCCCCGGTCAGACAGAAGCGGTCAATCAGTAAGCCTATTATCAGGCAAGAAAGACTTTGTTATGACAGAGATTAAAGACAAAATGCCGTAAATCCAAGTAAAAGTTACCTTAGAGATAACTGAGTTTATTTGTAAATTCAACTGGCTTTATTTGTGAACCTAAAGGAAAGTTACCTTAGAAATAAACTTTAAAAATCATCTTATGGTACCAATATTTAAAATTCCTCAACTATTTTATGTAATAGTGGTTGTATTTGGTACATTACAGTTTATGGGCATAGTATATTCACATAGATCATGCCATTTTATTCTCACAAACATACTGAAGGTATTATTATCTTCATTACAGGAAAGGAAAGTTAGACATAAAGACTTATCTAACACACTGATTTAGATGCATAGAGCAGACTTGAGCCCAAGTGTTTGACTCTTGTCTGGGCTAGAACAGGGTACTTTTTCTTGAACTACAGCCTCCTCACTAACTGTAAAGGTCTATTAAGATGTGGCTCTCGAGATCGCGCCACTGCACTCCAGCCTGGTGAAAGAGCAAGACTCTGTCTCAAAAAAAAAAAAAAAAAAAAAAAGGCTCTATCTCAAAACCATACAATTACATGGAAAGTAAACAACCAACCTGCTCCTGAATGACTTTTGGGTAAACAATGAAATTAAGGCAGAAATCAAGAAATTATTTGAAGCTAATGATAATAAAGATACAACATACCAGAATCTCTGGGACATAGCTAAAACACTGTTAAGAGGGGAGTTTATAGCACGAAACACCTTCATTGAAAGTTAGAAAGATCACAAATTAACAACATAACATCACACCTAGAGAAACTAGAAAAAAAAAAGAAAGAAAAAAACTAACCTTAGAGCTAACAGAAGAAATAACCATAATCAGAGCTGAACTGAATGAAATTGAGATGGGAAAAAATATACAAAAGATCAAAAAACCAAAAGTTTGTTATTTGAAAGAACAAATAAGATTGATAGACTGCTAGCTAGACTAACAAAGAAAAACAGAGAGAAAAATCCAAATAAACACAATCAGAAATGACACAAGTGACATTACTACCAACCCCACAGAAATAGTAAAACAAAACAAAAACCCCTCAGAGATTGTTACAGACACCTCTATGCATAGAAACTAGAAAACCTAGAAGAAATAGATAAATTCCTAGAAAAATATAACCTCCCAAGATTGAACCAGGAAGAAACTGAAACCCTGAACTGACCAATAACAAGTTTCTAAATTGAATCAGTAATAAAAAGCCTATCAACCATAAACAGCCCTGGACCAGATGGATCCTCAGCCAAATTTTACCAGACATATAAGAAGAACTGGTATGAATCCTACTGAAACTATTGTAAAAATTATGGAGGAGAGACTCCTCCCTGACTCATTTTATTAGGTCAACATAACTCTGATACCAAAACCTGGCAGAGACACAGAAAAAAGAAAACTTCAGGCCAATATCCCTGATGAACACAGATGCAAAAGTCCTCAACAAAATACTACCAAACCCAATCCAGCAGCACATCAAAAAGCTAGTCTACTGTGATCAAGTAGGCTTTATTCCTAGGATGCATAGTTGGTTCAACATACACAAATCAATAAATGTGATTCATCAAATAAAAGTAAAAAGAACTAAAAGTTCTTAAACTTTTAGTTCAGAACTAAAAGTAAAAACTATATGATAATCTCAATAGATGCAAAAAAGGCTGTCAATAAAATTTAACATCCTTTCATGTTAATCCCCTCCCCAAAAAAACCCTCAGCATCAAAGGAACATACTTCAAAATAATAAGAGCCATCTATGACAAACCCAGAGCCAACATCATACTGAGTGGGCAAAAGCTAGAAGAACTGCAATCAGACAAGGATGCCCACTCTCACCATTTGTATTCAACATAGTCCTTGAAGTCCTAGCCAGAGCAGTCAGGCAAGAGAATGACAAAAGACATTAAAATAGAAAGAGAGGAAATCAGATTATCTCTACTGGAAGATGATATGATTTTTCACCTAGAAAATGCCATAGTTTCTGCCCCAAAGTTCCTAGCTCTGATAATAACTTCAGCAGTTTCAGGATACAAAATTAATATGCAAAATCAGTAGCATTTCTATATACCAACAATGTTCAAGCTAAAAGCCAAATCAAGAATGCAATCCCATTTGCAATCACCACACACAAAAATAAAATACCTAGGAATACAGCTATCCATGGAGGTGAAAAATCTCTACAAGGATTACAAAACACTGCGGAAAAAAAATCAAAGACAGCACAAACAAATGGAAAAACATCCCATGATCATGAATAGGAAGAATCAATTTTGTTAAAATGGCCATACTGCCCAAAGCAATTTACAGATTCAATGCTATTCCTATCAAACTACCAATGACATTTTTCACAGAATTAGAAAAAACTATTTGGAAATTCACATGGAATCAAAAAAGAGCTGGAATAGCCAAAGCAAAACTTAGCAAAAAGAACAAAGCTGGAAGTATTATATAACCAAACTTCAAACTATACTACAAAGATACAATAACTAAAACAGCATGGTGCCGGTATAAAAACAGACACATAGACCAATGGAACAGGTTAGAAAACCCAGAAATAAAGCCACACACCTACAACCATCTGATCTTCAACCAAGTCAAGAAAAACATGCAATGGGGAAAGGACTCTGTATTCAATAAATGGTGCTGGGATAACTGGCTAGCTATATGCCAAAGATTGAAATGGGACCCCTTTCTTTCACCAGATACAAAAATTAACTCAAGATGGATTAAAGACTTAAACATAAAACTCAAAGCCCAAGCCCTAGAGGAAAACCTAGGAAATACCATTCTGGACAGGCTTTGGCAAAGATTTCATGATGAAGACACCAAAAGCAATTGCAACAACAAGAAAAAATTGACAAATGGGAGCTAATTAAACTAAAGAGCTTCTGCATAGCAAAAGAAACTATCAACAGAGTAAACAGACAGCCTATAAAATGGAAGAAAATATTTTCAAACTATGCATTTAACAAAGGTCAAAAATCCAGAATTTGTGAGGTATTTAAACAGATTAACAAGCAGAAACAAACCTCATTAAAAACTGGGCAAATGACATGAATAGACACTTCTCAAAAGAAGACATACATGCAGCCAACAAGCGTATGAAAAAAATGCTTAACCTCACTAATCATTAGAGAAAATCAAATCAAAACCACAATGAGATTATCATCTCATACCGGTCAGAATGGCTATTATTAAAAAGTTAAAAAATGACCTGCTGGTGAGGTTGTGGTTAAAAACGAACACTTATATGCTGCTTTTGGGGGTGTAAAATAGTTCAGCTGGTGTGGAAAGCAGATTGCAGATTTCTCAACGAATTTTAAACAGAATTATCATTTGACCCAGCAATCCCATTGCTGGGTATATACCCAGAGGAATATAAATTGTTCTACCATAAGAATATATGCATGGCAGGGCATGGTGGCTCACGCCTGTAATCCCAGCAGTTTGGGAGGCCAAGGCGGGCAGATCATCTGAGGTCGGGAGTTTGAGACTGGCCAGATCAACATGGAGAAACCCTGTCTCTACTAAAAAAATACAAAATTAGTCGGGCGTGGTGGCACATGCCTGTAATCCCAGCTACTCGGGAGGCTGAGGCAGGAGAATCACTTGAACCTGGGAGGCAGAGGTTGCCATGAGCCGAGATAGCACTATTGCACTCCAGCCTGGGCAACAAGAGCAAAATTCCGTCTCAAAAAAAACAAAAAGAATATATGCACACATATCTTCATTGCAGGACCATTCACAATAGCAAAGACATGTAATCAACCTAAATGCCCATTGATGATAGACTGGATAAACAAAATGTAGTGCATATATACCATGGAACACAACCATAAAAAAGAATGAGATCATCTTTTTTGAAGCAACATGGATGGAGCTGGAGGCTATTATCCTAAGTGAATTAATGCAGCAACAGAAAACCAGATACCACATGTTCTCACTTATAAGTGGGAGCTAAACATTGAGTACACATGGACACAAAGAAGGGAGCAATAGACATAGGGCCTACTTGAGGGTGGAGGGTGGGAGGCGGATGAGGATTGAAAAACTACCTATTGGGTAATACGCTTATTACCTAGGTAATGAAGTAATCTCTACACCAAACCCTCATGACATGTGATTTAGCCATATAACAGTGAATTATCATCATTCAACATTAATATAACATCAAATGCTTTTTTAAATCAGTAACAATTACAAAAAAACACTGGCTGTTTGTAAGAGGTTTATAAAATATGCACCTTCATATACTACGGGTAAAAGTGTACATTGGTACAAGCTGTCTAGAAAGTGATTTGATGATATGCAATATGTATCAAGAGCTTTTAACAGGTTTGTACCTTTTGACCTAAGATTCCTTTTTTTTAAAAAAAGGAATATTCTGAAATTCTGATAACGATTTCTACAGAAAGGTCTCAGTTTAGGGTTATTTATAAAAGCAAAACATGTTCAACAATGTGACAGTAGTTATATAAAGTATAGGATTATTCATATGATAAAATATTCAGAGGTTTTTTTTTTAGATATATGATAAACTGGGTAGCTGCACATGATATAAAGCAGAATACTGTGTCTAGTTAGTTGTTTGTCATCTGTATGGACCAAGAGAGTAGGTCAGGTCCATTAACTGTCTTGGTGGAAGTATCTGCTTTGGTATTAGAAAATGCTCTCATTTTTTCACTTATGTCAATATTGGGCATATGTGGCACAAAAGTGTATTCTACAAATCCCTAAATCATATGAATTTCATCACCCAGAAATTATTTGGTGACACTGAGACTCCAGAAATGATTAAAGCATCATCCCTCTTCTTAAGGAGATCACAGTTCACTGAGGAGCCTGGCATGTAAAACATTTGTTATAATAAAGACCCTGGCAGACGGAGATACGAATTGCTTTCAGTACCCAGAGAAGGAAGTAACTAACTCTTCTGGGTCAAAAGATTTTTATTCCATGAACAAGGCTGCATGAGAAGGTTGTACACAATCAGTTCATCAGCAGAATTAACAGGTGAATAACTGATTTCTTATGCTTCCAGCCTTGATAGGTCAGCGTGGTGAGGGATAGATAGACCTCAATCACCTACTAAATCAATTAAGGCTATGTGTTGTTAAATACTAGCTGTTGTTTACTAGATGATTGCTATATGCCACTCATCTATGTTAAATTTTTATGTTCTCTCTTTTTACTTCATAACACTATGAAGACTGCACTTTTAAAAGGCAAAAAAATTTAAAATGTGCTTCAATGATTCCAGCCTTATAGTTAGAATAATATAAAGTAAAACTCATAACTTATATCTCGATTATTTGTAAATATGCCCAATTTAAATGTTATTTTAACTTCACATACCCATTTAGAAAATAGGCTAATTGTGCCCGAAATAATTCAGGTAGTTCCATAATAGGAAAAGTTGGAACTTTCTCTTAAAGTCCCCAACACACTGATAGAAACACTGAAGAGACTAGAATCAATCAAATTTTCTATGTAAATTATTTTATGTGTGGGGAGAGAGAGCAGCCGGGGACAATCAGATTTTAAGAGTGGAAAGGAGAGGTGAAAACCTTTAAACCTTTAACACAAATCTGTGGTGAGCAAGAAGTTTGATCACACAGTAAAAGCCTTTGGGTTGACGGCTTCTTGAAGTCAAGTTCAGAAGTGAAAAACATACAACAGAGAAATATATTGCAGGACCTAGGATTAAGACTTTGAAATTCACACTTGACAAGTTAAGTCCAGAGCTTTGAGCCCAACTCTGTGCTGAAGTTAAAAATGAACATGGCCTCTCTTGTTCTGACATAGGCAAATAAACATTCCTGGCGCAGAAGGGGGTGTCAGTATCAAAGACACTGCATTTGGTTAAGCCACAGTTAGCAAAATAACATGGCTTCTCTCTTTCAGAGCGGAGAGCTGGTCTTCCACATGGTATTTATTTTACTTACCGTAGTGATTGACGCTGTTTATAAGCCGCACTCCCACTTGGGCATGGTTATTAGTCATCAGTACAATATCAAATAAGTCCTGTTCATCAGGATATAGATCACGGAGTCTAGCATTGACATACTGTAGTGCCTGCAGGTTACAAACATGAATGTGTGTAAAGAGGGGCAGGCAGGGTGGATCTGGGGAGGCCGGAGAGGAAGCATCTCATCAGAGTCAAATTCAAGCTCTGAAGAATCTTCACTGAGAGATTCTGGCTCCTTTAAGGAAGATTTATCCCATGCATTTCTGTATTATCAACCTCTCATTCATAGGAACTCAGTTAATGTTCACAATACATGAGTAATGTTTGTTGAAAATTGTTTCCACTTTGGGTTCACTAGAATTATCTCTGGGGGACAGGTAGAGAGTAGGGTCAGGCTAACCCTTTTATGCTTTGTCTATGTTTGATTTTTAAAATCTGCTTTTATCGATCATCTAATGATTGTTTTTTTTATTTTGAAAAATATGGACTGCTTCATGAATCTGCATGTCATCTTGCCCAGAGGTCATGCAAATCGTCTCTCTTTTGTTCCAATTTTAGTATATATTCTGTCAGAGTACTTTATGTATTAACATGTATCCTGCCCATGCTTTTACTGTGTCTCATAAGTACATTCTACCAACAACTTGTAGAGGTGTCATTTGTTTTTGCATGGTTATGATGTTATTGTGTAATATTTATATAAGCAGATCAAAGTTGTAAGTGCTATACATTTCAGTGTAAGTTCAGAGAACCTTACCTTCTCTATTAAAGTCACACTCCTAAGTGCCAAGGGCATCTTTATTTTCTTAATATGCTATGTTTGGGGCCAGAAGAGCTAACGTGAATTTCATTTCACTGTAATATGGCGTTTTATTTCTACTACTCAGGATCATAAACTCATTATGGCTTCTTAGCACTCCTTCGAGGGAGAGAGGTTTCTGTTACAAGTCTCATGATTAGGACTTCACTTAGGGAAGACTAACATACCAAATCTAGGGCTGTGGGCTGGAGTCCCTTCCTCCACAGTCTGGAAGCCTGTGCGAAATCATAAACTGACCTGGGTCAGCTAGAAGGAGACAAGAATGACAAGGGTGGGCTAGGAATGATCTGGGAAATTGGATGCCCTCCCAAGGGTTGGCCTGGGTCCCTCCCTCGCCATCGAGTGTCCTGGCGGGCCAAAGACAGCTTGCAGAATACCTTGACGAAGCGGAACGCCGGGCCCGGGGTCAGGATGACGTTCTCATTGGTGAGCTGATACTCCATGTACTTTTCCAGACCCTCTTGCTCGTAGATTTTCCTGCCGTCCACCATGTTGAAGAGCGCGCAGGATGAGAGAGCAATGGTGATGGCGTTCTTGGGTTTGGGCTGCAGAGAGGGACGCCAAAGGGAGGATAGTCACATAGCCACGAAGAGGACAGGGTTGGGGCTCCTCCAGGGTAGGGTGAGAGTAGGACAGCGGGCCCCTGCTTGGAGAAGCGGGATGCTGGAGACAGCTGAGGCTGGGACTCCCCGAAGTTTGGGGAGGAGAAGCGGGAGGACCTCCCTGCGCAGTGGAGAGGAGGGCGGCTGGAAGAGGCTGCAAGGAAGGGCGCCCCGGCTGCCAGGGGCGGCGGGCTGGCTCACCGGCCAGGGGCGCGAGCAGCTCGGGTTCTTCTCGTAGAACGACCTCATGGATGCCCAGTAGGCAGCCTCGTAGTCGTCCTCGTCCTCCCGCTGCTGCTGCTGCTGCTCGGACAGAGAGTTGCGGTCCAGCTGGGTGGAGGCGGGGTAGATCCCCCTGCGCTGGCTGGAGGACTTCCACTCGGTGGGGGACGTGCGCGAATATTCCAGCGGCTGCGAGTCCCGGGTCTGGCGGATTTCCCGCACGATGCCTTGGGCCCAGGCCTCCGGATTCTCTTGCATTTTGGTGCTGCGCCGGGAGCCAGGATCGGGCTCTGGGGGCGTGGGAGGCCGCGAGTCCAGCGACCGGGGCAGCTGGGGCGACGCGGGTGGCTGGAGCGAGGGCTGCCCGGACAGCGGCGGCGGTGAGGAGTCATGCAGGCTTGGGGAGGTGGATGGAGTCCGGGAGCTCGTGGAGCTGCTGGGGAGCTGCAGCAAGACAATGGGCGTCTGAAGTCGAGGCCTGCCTGCCCATCTCCGGTCAAGGATCTGTCCCTTCTGCCTATTCCATTCCTAGACCTTTGATGGGTGCTGGTTCATCTCAGCTCCTTAAGTAGGGCTTAAGGGACTCGGACATTTCTAGGCCTCAGCTGTTTGATATTTCTGTTAAACAGACACAGAGACTGTCTGCTTTCATTCTCCCCTAGCTTCCCCATAAGCATTTCACACGTTTTTATTTGTTTGGAGTAGATAGGACCCAGTCCTCTTCCTCCCCCTTAGGCAGCTGACACATGGTTTGCAAAGTTCTGTCCCCTGCTTGGCATATACCTACTCAGTCAGAGGCCTGCAGGTAGGACAGAGGGCATGCAGAATGGATCTTGCTTGGCCAGTGCCTTAGTGTGCGACTTCCAGTTAACTCCATGAGCAAAGTGGGCCAGACATTCTCACCAGAACACTCTACATAGCACCTCAGGGCATGTCTCTCCCCGCTCCCCATGTGAATGATGTAGTGATGGCTGGGAAAGTCTCTTGTCTGGAGACTGGAGCATCTCCCCAGGGCCTTCAGAGCTCCTTGTGCCGGTGAAGCACAGTTACATAGAATCATCTTCCCAAATAGGGAAGGGCCATTCTAGAGAAAAAACTCCTTTACTAAGGTGAGCAAGAAGTTATTAGGTATCCATATATGATTTCAGATTGTTTCACACATGACTCAAAAAAGCATGTTTTTGTTTAGATGATTGAGTCAAATCCGATAGAGATGATGAATTAGGTAGGAATGCATGCTTTCCCAGTGGCTGGGTCTGGGTCATTCGCTCTGCTTCCAAAATCTTAATCTCAAAACTAACTTTTTTTTTTAATTGCTTATGTGGTCAGGCCTAATTAAAAACTCAAAGCCCCACACAATCTGACACTCTTTTTCTCTGGTGGTGACTATTTCCTTCCCTCTTCTGAGAATCACAGTTAATTACTATTTGTTGAATGAAGGAAGGAAGGAGGAAGTGTGCAGCCTCTAGATCTGGAGCCCCTGGGTTTTAATGCTAGCTCTACCACTTATTAATGTGAAACCTTAAACAAGTTCCCTCTGTACTTCAGGTTTCTCAGTGGCAAAATGGGATTTACGGGCAGAAGGGAGTTCTCCCAAGGGCTAAATTAGCTAACACATGTAAAGCACATAAACAGGGCCTGGCACGTAGAAAGCATCAATAAATGTTAACCATTGTTATTATTCTATCATCTACTACTCCCTTTCATCTTTACCTCTACCTTAGCACTGGTGTTCCTGCTTCTAGGCTCATCTATGGATGGAGCCTTGGTGGATGGGCTCCGGGATATTCTAGACCATTGACTGCGCACAAGGTACCCTCGAGAGTCTGTCTTCCGCAGTGATGATTCTTGTGATCCCTGTGATGGAAAGAAGAAACCCAACGGTGTAAAACCCCATCACCAACTCCTTCTATACGTGTGCCTGCAGAATAGTCATGTCAGGCTGAATATAGCAGCACCCAGTGAGAAGATCCCTGGCCTCAATGACTCTTAACTCAACCTGAACTCTTCTGTACTATTCTAACTCTGGTCTAGTCCTCACTTCTGTTTGGAGCATCTATGTGGGGGTCCACTTGAAAGAGCATCCAAAACCAAGATGCAAACATATTTTTTCACTGTGACTCCTCTTATGTGGATATTAGTATGGTTCACCATTGTTCCTCCCTTTTCCTCACTTCTTCCCTCGAGGATAAGCCTGTTAACAGATGCTGAAACAATATATCCACCATTTTTTACCAGACTGTAAAGGTGAGGGCAACTGGTGCCCCACTGAGGTTGCAGGGGGACTCTAAGGCAGCTGCTGAAAAGGAATGGAGCCCTCAAGCTTTTCTTTTAGGAGAAACAAGAATGAAGGACCCCCCGGAACAGCAAAGTAAAAGAGTTTCTATTTGCCATATTCTTCCCCTCACCCAGGTTGTCTGTGGTTCCCCTCCAGAATCGGTAGTGTGATCTCTGCTCACCCTCATCATGGTGATCTGCTGGCCCTGCTCCCACAACAGGCACATGTGAATATAAATACGTATTGTGTGGCAGGGGCCAAGGGCTGTTCCCTCAGCTGCACAAAGGCAGCGTCTACACGACGAGTGACCCTGGAAGGGGCAACATCTCAGCGAGTGATTCGGATTGACTGCACGCCTCATCTGAAAGATTGTGCAGAAAGTGGTCAATGCCATGGCCAGACCCCCTCCCCTCCCTGATTTGAACAAAGACCAGTCTCCCCCCTGTGTAGGCTGAGCAGAGGAGCCTGCTGTGGTTCCACACATTCGAAGTGAACACTAGGGTATGGATGGAGGGGAAGGCAGGGCCCAACCTTTCCTAGTTCCTTAACCTTCTCATGAGGACATTAGGGACGCCTTAATACAATTCTCAACAGCTTGGTCTTCTCTCCCAGAACTCCCTGCCCCCTAACATTTTCCATTATGCTTTCTGCTCCTTAATTTCCTCACCTCTGCTACAGAGATCAGCTCACCTGATTGCTCAGACGAACTCCTGTTTTGTCAGATTCCTTTCTTTTTTCTGCTTCTAGACTCTCTTTTGAGGACCTCATTCCAGGCTCATTCTTGACAAGGAAACAAAGAATGTTTATTAATTTTTAATCTCAGGGCATTAGGAACTTTGGCTTTCAGAATAAAAGGATAAAGAAAACACAAAATTTATTTATTTGCCAATATAAAAAGGTATAAACTCTAGACCTTAGTTTCCCCTGTTCTAACAAGCATGAGTAAAAGGTAACACATATTTTATTAAAAAGAATTATATAAACAAGTTTTAATATAGAAATTTGTTGGTTCATAGATTTGAGATATAAAGCATTTATTGTTTAAAGACTGATAACATGGGAAATATTAGAGAATTGTGAAGTTGTTTATGTAGAATAAGTTTGTTTTTTTTTCTATTACTCTGAAGATTGCTACTTATGGAACTTACTTTTCCTTGCCATTTAGAATTCAATTTTTTCTTGTTTTCATCATCACTACAGCTCAAACTTTTTGTGGCTCTAGCCTCACCAATATTAGTTTGATTTCTAAATATAAGGACCTTAATCTCATACAAATTTATTGAAAGTCATGTCTTCTGTTCCTATCATTTAATTACTCATAGATCTAGAGTGGAAAGGGATTTCTTACCAACAAATTAACAACAGATAGGGAAAACCAAGTAAAAGAGCACAAGAAGATGACTCACTTTATGGAACTCTACTCAAATATTTATGTTTTCATTTTCATTTGGAGGAGATACTTATTGGAATATTATTTGAACTGTTTCATGCTAAGTAAGTAGCTGCAATGTGATCAAGATTAGTGTTATTTATATGTTTAAGGAGCACAACTTCTAAGTTAGACCAAGATCCACTAGAGCAGTCTATATTCATCCGTTTATGCTCTGTGTCTTGCATGCAGGAAAAATCTCATCAATGTTAGTTGCATGAGAATGTTAGTTGCATGAGAGAATGGCATAGCTGTATGACTCCTGAACTAATTTTAAAATCTTTTCATCAACCCTCACTCACCTTATACACATACATAGCAGTCACCATAATACCTCTTACTTCTAATTCCAAATGATATTTTGAATCCAGTTCCTTTTTTCTATCTCTATTATCATTGCCTTGTTCCAGGTCTCTGACCATCCTGGGACTACATTTTCAGAATATAGCCTTTCAAACAGGTTTCATGGCCTTAAATCCTCTCCACTTCTAGATCTGTCCACCGTATTTATTTAGAGTAATATTTACAAGATGTAAATCTAGTAATGCTTCATTCCTGGATAAACACTTTCTTCACTTGGTTTGACCAGGAGCCTCATGATGTTTTCCTGTGTACCTGCTACTTGCATGCCCTTCACTCTATACTTTATCACTATGTTCTACTAATACCAAGTGACTTGTATTTGCCTGCATACACCAGCCTTATTTCCTTATGGTCTCCTCTTCTCTCCTGTGTTCTTCGAAACCCAGCTCAGTGTGACCTGGGGGAAGTTCCCAGAGTGAAATATTGCCCTGTGTTCCTTGTGTCTTTTGTACATACTTTTATGGAGCAATGAGTTGTCCTTTGTCTATTGTCTTTCCTACTAGGCCATGCATTCTTCAAAGACAGCCACTGTTTTTACCTTTTACTACTAACATATGAGTATATGCTAAATGAATACTGACTTATTGGAATCATTTATATACTACACGTTTTTTAATCTCTTTCTTTGCTGTCTTAATTTCTTTTAAATTTCTCCTTCTTCCCTTTTCTGTACTCTTTCCATTGCCTTTATTCTCTCCCTTCTCTTTTCCTCTACCTGAAGCCATTATCTGAAATTATTTGATCATTGCAGAGCCTTTGCAGAGGCAAATGATGGACTGATATCCACATTTCTTCAGCCCCATGGCAAGATTCTAAGACACTCGGTTCACTCACCTTTTTCTGTTTGAGAGATGTTTGACTCATTTTTTTACCTGTTGAAATTCTTTTGTTGTTATCCACATTTTTGTCTCCCCAGCTCCATTTCCTGTCACTTCCCTTGCTCAGTCTAGCTTTGCATTTAGAATGTCAAATTTATGACATCATATGTGATTCCATAGTAACAAACTGACTCTATGAATATGTGATTAACCTTTTCTTAAAAAACAAAAAATAAATGTTTCTTCATTTTGAGTGTATCTGCTCATAGCCATTGTCTTTGTTTTCAGAAATTGATGTCTAAACATTGTTCAAATGTTCAATATGTAGCAATATCAATATTACCACTTCCTTTTTAAATCTTTTTAAGCATTTCTCTGCCATTCATTATATTAATCCCATTTGTGACTGTCTGTTTCCTGGTACTGCCAAAATGAATGGCAAAGTCATTTGTGGATCCAATCATTTATCCATGTTCATTCTGCCAGACAGACTTTGGAGGGCTTTTCTCAGATCTAGAGACTATTTTTGACAGCTGGGATTTTGTTCCAGACATGGAGTTTAGACTTGAGTTTGAGTTTAGCTTTAATGTCTCATGTTTCTTTCAATGGCAAAACCTGTTGAGGAAGACACTGTCAAAGCCCCTTCCCCATGGCTAGACTCAGTGTAGAATGTTACCTTTGCTGCCCCATCCTTAACCCTTAACCCTGGGCTGCCCCATCCTTAACCCTTTAAACACTAAAGCTAAACTCAAACTCAAGTCTAAACTCCATGTCTAGAACAAAATCTCAGCTGTCAAAAATAGTTTCCAGATCTGAGGAAAGCCCCCCAAAGTCTGGGAGAGTGAACATGGATAAATGATTGGGTCCACAAATGAGTTTGTGATTCATTTTGGCAAGTAACAGGAAACATACAGTTACAAATAGAATTGATATTTGTAAAAAGTAGCCCCTAACTCTGGTTTACAGAATCTAAACATGTTCTCCATTTTAGTTTTCTCCTTTTATCTTCACCCAAGCTTTAGATAGGAGACATGTGCCATGCCAACCTGAGCTGGTGAAATCATCAAGGACTGAGGCAGGTTTCCAGCCTGTTTTCATGGGACAAGTTGATAGCTAAGGTTGAATATCGGAAGTTGTTGATGGTTTTAATTTAAGTTATCCAAGGAGTCTTTTAGTTAGTAAAACATTCAGGCTGTAGGTAAGAGTGCCTGGGTTTAAGTTATTTCATCTCTCCCCTACTCCCCACTGTACACCCAACCCCCAGCATTCTACCCAAAATTTGTACAGGGGTCATTTGTTTTTGCATGGTTATGATGTTATTGTGTAATATTTGTATAAGTTATGTAGACAATCAAAGTTGTAAGTGCTATACGTTTCAGAGTAACTTCAGAGAACCTTACCTTTTCTATTAAAATCACACCCCTAAGTACCAAGAGCATCTTTATTTTCTTAGTATGCTGTGTTTGGGGCCAGAGCAGCTAATGTGAATTTCATCTCATTGTAATTAGGTGTTTTATTTCTACTATTCAGGATTATAAACTCATTATGGCTTCTTAGCACTCCTTCGAGGGAGAGAGCAGAGGCTTCTGTTATAGGTTTCATGGGTAGGACTTCACTTAGGGAAGCCTGACATCCCAAATCTAGGGCTGTGGGCTGGAGTCCCTTCCTCCACAGTCTGGAAGCCTAGGCAAAAGCATGAACTGACCTGAGTCAGAGGTTTATGTGACTCACAGTTCTGCAGACTATACAGGAAGCATAGTGCTGGCATGTGCTTCTGGCGAGGCCTCAGGAAGCTTCCCAATCATGACAGAAGGCAAAGAAGGAGCAAATGTGTAACACGACAAGAGCAGGAGCAAGAGAGAAGGGAGGAGGTCCCAGATTCTTTTGAACAGTCAGATATCCTCGTAACTCATTACCATGGGAAGGCACAAAGCCATCCATTAGGGATTGACCTTCATGACCCAAACACCTCACACTAGGCCTCACCTCCAACATTGGGAGTCATCTTTTAACATAAGATTTGGAAGGGACAAATATCCAAGCCATGTAATGGGTTAAGCATGTTCTTGTCGCAAGACTTTTAAATTTGCTGCTCCATCTGCTGCAGCGGCCCATATATACACGTGCCTTAATTCCTTATTTTTTTAACTCTGCTCTCAAGCAGTCTCCTCAGAGAGGACTTCTCTGACTGTCACTAAAAATGATACCTCATTTCCTTCATCTTTTAACCCTTATGTCCCTTTATTTTCAATCATAACATTTATTTCAACCTGACTTTGTTTCACAAGAGTTTATTTGCTTATTGTCTTTTCTGGTCCCGCTGGAGCGAAAACTGCTTGTGAGAAGCGACCTATACATCTTTTCTACTGCTGCTTTCTTCTTGCCTAGAATAGTTACTAGGAGGTACTTCCATAAATATTTGTTGAATAAATACATGAATCTTTTAAGAAATGCGTTTACTTAACAGTGATAAGCAGGATACAGAATATTATGGTAACAGTAGTGGTGGAATTTTTTTTTTTTTTTGAGACAGAGTCTTGCTCTGTCACTCAGGCTGGAGTGCAATGGCAAGATCTCAGCTCACTGCAACCTCCACTTCCCAGGTTTAAGCGATTCTCCTGCCTCAGCCTCCCAAGTAGCTGGGATTTCAGGCATGTACCACCATGCCTGGCTAATTTTTGTATTTCTGATAGAGATGGGGTTTCACCATGTTGGTCAGGCTGGTCTCTAACTTCTGACCTCAGGTGATCCACCCGCCTTGGCCTTCCAAAGTACTGGGATTACAGGCATGAGCCACCGCACCCGGCCATGGTGGAAATTTTAAAAAGTCATTTCCCTATGCCTTTGAGGAGGACCATGAAGTTAGTGCATGGGAAGAAAACCCAGAAGAGTGCTGTATTTCTTTCCTGTCCTTTAAAGCTTTTTTTCTAGAGATCAGGGGTTCTCAAGCCTGAGAGTGCATCAGTGCATTACTCTGAGAGGTTGTTAAAGTGACTTTGCAACAGGAGAATGGTTAAACTGTGGCACATTCATACCATGGAACACTAATCAGCAATGCAGAGAAACAAACTATTGATACACACAATAATATGAATGACTCCACAGAGAATTATGCTGGGTAAAAAAAGAGCCAGTCCCCAAGAGTTATATACTATATGATTTCATTTGTATAACATTCTTGAAATGACAACAATTATAGAATGGAGAACAGGTCAGTGGTTGCCAGCATGACGAGGTGGGTGAAGTTAAGTGGGTGTAACTAGAAAAGGGCAACATGAAAGATCTCTGTGGTGACGGAAAGTCTGTATTTTTTATTTGGTTGTATCAGTGTCAACACCTGGGCTGTGATATTGTACTATAGTTTTGTAGGATGTCTAAATTGGGCAAAGGGTAATGGGATCATTCTGTATTTTTTTTTTTGCAACTGCCTATGAATCTACAATTATTTCAAAAATTTTAAAAAGTTTAATGAATTTTTTAAAAAACACATACACACAAATTTTTGGGCCTCTCCCCCCGGAATTTCTGATTCAGTAGACTTGGATAGGGCCCAAAACCTAAATGTGTAACATGTTCCCAGATAAAGCTGATACTGCTGGACTGAGCACCACACTTTGATAATCACTAAGCCAGAATAATTAGGAATTCTTCATACTCACAGGTAAGCTCTAGCTGGTCCATCGACTTCATGTGAACAACATCAAATAATCCTCTACCATCTTAAATATTATTTCTTGTAGTAAAGACTATCATTAGTGAAACAGTCTCTAGAATGGGCCTGTCAGACTCCAATGCTCAAGACAAAGCCTCACCTTTTTTCAATAGGGCCCTGTCTGATTGGTTGGACTGTAAGCAGTTCACCAGCAACATCTGTGTCCTTTTCTGACTGCCTCAGCTGGAAAGGAACTGTCCAAGTTGTAGGTTCACATCCTTGGCTGCACATTACAATTACCTGAGAGCTTTTAAAAATCCCAGTGCCTCGGATCTTTCCAGGTCACAATCACAGACAAGTTTAATTAGAATCTCTGAATGTAAGACCCAGGTATCAGTATCATTTGTGTTTGACTGGAGGGCTGAGCCCTAGGCTCTCAGTAGAATTTCTAAGGTACCTACCTTCTTTCCTCCCTCTCCCCACATTGCCTTGGGTCCAGTTTCCCAGATTCCACAAAGGGGAGGCAGCACCTGCTCAAGAAGCTGAACTCCCAAGGTAGAAACCCCAGTCTTACATTCCTTTCTCTCCCTTATCTGAGGTTCTTACAAGTTGCATGTCTTTTTTCTCAGCAGTGTCTCTCAAACACCAGGCACCCTTGCATTCCATTAGCTTTTGCCAAGTCTTCATCTTTTCCAGTGAGCTATGCAAGAGTCTCCTCACCAATCTCCTCAACTGTACTATTGTGTCCTTCTTAAATCCATCGTTATATAGCCACTAAAGAGATCTTTCTAAAACACTAATAGATTCTTTCACTCCCTTATTTAAAACCCTTTCTGGAGAACCCTTTTTTCCCCCAAGAAACAAATTAGTATGATATCCAAGACTCCATGACCGAGTCTTTCTCCCATTCCTTGCCTCCTTTGCAAGCCTCATATATCTAGATTTCCCCAACAAAACACTTTCACTGCCTTAAAAAAATCCTGGTTTATTGAGATATAATCAACACACCATACGAGTCACCCATTTAAAGTGTACAATTCAATGGTTCTTAAAATATTTGTAGTCATGCAACTATAAACACAGATGAATTGTAGCATATTTTCAACATCCCCAAAATAAATTCAGTATCTTCTAGATACAACCCCTATCTTCCCATCCCCTGCCCAGCCCTGAGTAATCATTAATTTACTTTCTTCATAACCCATTTTACAGATCAATGCATCACTACCCAGTAGAGTTCTGAACTTTGGAGCAGGACTGACCTAGGTTTAAATCTTACCTTAGCTAGTCTGTATGTTTGGATCACTTACTCCATCCAGACTTCAGTTTTGTTGCCATCAAAATTGGAAAAGTTACATCTACTTCTCATACAGGCTGTGAGGGTTATTAACAGTATAATAAGGTGCCTGACAATAATAGATAGGTGTTATCATTATATTTTAGTGAATTATGAATATAAAATTTTGAAAAAAATCATTGCTGTGATCCTATAACCAATAACTAGATACTCCATGGCAGCAGTAACTACACTTTCAGATTTTAATAATATGTGGGCTAATGTGATATTTCAAATCAAGACTGTCTTAGAAAATTTAACGTGATTAGCACTGGACTCAGTCTAGGTCACGGGGTGGATAGTTTTGGAAATATCAGGCCTAACATTAGTCAGCATAGGTGCATAATTCCTGAGGCTCACAGAAAGGCTGTGGAGAAGGGGAAAGGGTCACATTTTCTTATCATCTCCACCTGTCACTTAGATCAGCTTGCTGTATTAATTTTGCATGGCCATGTAACAAATTACTACTAACTTACTGGCTTAAAATAATGTGCATTTGTTATCACACAGTTCTGTTAGGTTAAAAGTCTGGGGAAGCTCACCTGGGTTCTTTGCTTAGAATCTGTTAAAGGTAAAATCAAGGTGTCAGCCATGTTGAGCTGTTACCTGGAGGCTCTGGGGAAGAATCTACTTCCAGTCTCATCTGGGTTGTTGGCAGAATTCAGTTTCTTCTAGTTGTAGGACGGAAGTCCAAGTTGCTGGATGTCAACCAGGGAATCACCCTCAGCTCCTAGAGGCCACTCTCAGGCCCTTGCTCTATGGCCCCCTCCATCCCATTAGTGGAGAATCTTCCTTGTGCTGAATCCTATCCGTCAGAAAAAAATTCCTTTTAAAGGGCTCAGATAATTAGGTTATGCCCACTGGGATAATCTCTTTTTTATTAACTCAAAACCAACTAATGAGTAAGCTCAATTATATCTACAAAATCTTTCTTGCCATGTATAACATAATCATGGGAGTGATGCCCCATCATATTCCCAGGGCAGGGAATTATACAAAGGTGAGGGTCTTTGGAGGGATCATCTTAGAATTTTGTCCTCCACACTCATTTAATTGACTTTGCCTAAGTGAATCCTCAAAATAGGGAACTAAATAAATAAAACCCAGGCTTGCAAATTGGTGACCACCATTATCTGTTTCAGTGCATATGGACTATCTGGGGCTAGTATGGGCACTTGATTTGAAGATATATTCTGTTTTTAAAAGTATAGACTAGGAAATGTAACATGTATGGATGTGTTAGAGCCTGTCACTAAGTCCCCTGGATGTGCGTGTGTGGATATTTTTGGAGGAGTTATGTACTTTCTCCTGCACCTTTCTGAGGTCTGTGATTGTTGATGTGGGCATGGAACAGATGTAGGAGCACATGGACACCTCAGAGAAAGTTTACAAACTCAAGATGTCTTCATTGGGATAGTCCTAAAAGTAAGCACAAGGATAAAGTGGTATATCTTTCTTAGTTCTTTTCTGTAGAAATGGAAGTGTATTTCATGGTTGGTCTCTACATATACTAAAGTAACAGTATTGGTTTTGGGGTCAAATAAATTTGAGTTTTAAAACCAACTCTGTTACTGATCACTTGCTTAACATCAGGCTAGTTACTTAACTTCAATAAATCTTTTTATTTTATGTCTATGAAATGGGTGTTATACCTAGTTGGAGGGTTTTTAGGAAGAAATAAATGGGTAGCACATATAATGTGCTTGACCCAAAGTACTGGTTTGTGGTTAGGGTCTATGGTGAGTTGAGTCATGAACAATAATTTGAAGCTGTTCCCATTGGGAGCTGGATTCTATTTCCCATCTTTTGAATTTGGCTCTGTCTTGTGATATGCTTTAACTAATATAATGCAGAGAAAATAACATTATGTGAGTCCTTGAGCCCAGGGCTCCCAAGGCTTGCAGTGCTTTCCAAGGCTATCTTCTTGGAATGCTGCTTCCATGGGGTGGCTTGAAATCTTCATGTTAAGAAAATAAGGACAATAAGAAATAATACTTTTGAGTACATGCTAGACACATTGCATTTTATACTGTTTAGTACTTTTTAATCACCAAGCAGTGTAGAGTGAAACAACTTGCCTGAAGTTGTGAAGTGACAGTTGTTTAATCATACTTTCTCTTCTACAGTGGCCTGGTCTTTTATACCTATCTTAACAATAGGCCAATCTGGAATCCTATGTAATTAATTGGATAGTCAAAAAATTGGATAAGTAAAGTCATTATAGTTTCTAAGTATGAGCTTCATCCAATGAGACTGTATCTCTATGTATTAGCCTATTTTCATGCTGCTGATGAGACAGTCCCAAGACTGGGCAATTTACAAAGAAAAAGAGGCTTAATGGACTCACTGTTCCATGTGGCTGGGGAGGCCTCACAATCATGGCAGAAGGCAAAAGGCACTTCTTACATGGTGGCAGGCAAGAGAGAATGAAAGCCAAGTGAAAGGGGAAGCGCTTTATAAAACTATCACATCTTGTGAGACTTATTCATTACCAGGAGAACAGTATGTGGAAACCACCTCCATGATTCAGTTATCTCCCACCGGGTCCCTCCCACAAGACGTGGGAATTGTGGGAGCTACAGTTCAACATGAAATTTGGATGGGGACACAGCCAAACCCTATCACTCTAAAAGTCTCTACAGGTCTCAGATCATGATAAAGGAGCAGCTTCTCATGAGCTTGGCCCTGCTCATGGTGCATATGCAGAATACTCTTGCCAAATGCTGGTAAGTGAAAATCCCTTGTCCAAAATATCGACTAGAGGTCAGTGTGTATCTACTGGCCTCTTCCCAGATGGCAGTTACATCAACATTCCATTCATGTAGGTCAAAGCTGAAAAATACAAGTTCCGGGAACCTTATCCAGAGAGGTGAGCATGTCTCTCAGAAGTCATCAGCGAATAAAAAAGTTTTCTTTGAAGTTCATAGTTCTTGAATCAGTCCATCTTGACCATCCACATGATTCAAGGGTCACTATGGAGTCAGAGCACCAGAGAACTCTGTCCATGGACACTAGATAGAACGCCTTTGATGGATTGGGAAAAAATTTTTAAAAAGTAAAAAGCACTTGTACTTTAAGAAAAGAATTTTTAAAAATATCCTGGGGAAGGTAGTCTCAAATGTAAAGATGCTCTATAAAATATAAGGTCTTGAAAAATAAAAGTTCCACTTACTTGCATAGATTAGGGCTCTGAAGTTCAATCTTCTCATCTGTAAAATAGGAATTAAATGCCTATGCACATCTTACAATTTTTTTGTGAAACGCGAATGTGGTCATGCAAAGAAAAGCACTTAGGAAGTTCACAGGAAGTTCTTTATAACACATCCCACCAAAAATCTGCATGATGAACGAAGAAATAGGTCACTTGGAAGATGGCCAAAGGACTTGAAAACTGGGCAGGCTAAGTGGAAATTGATGACCACTTCCTCATAAAGGTAAGGGAGCTTGGTGCCAGTGCACAATCGATGTCTTCCTCTTTTTAAGAAAATCATGAGGAATTTTTTCCACGTTTTATTAGGCTTAGCCAAAATGGTGCATGTTCACCTTTTCCCCTCCATCCTGCCTTCAACACTCACTTTAGTAAGTAAAATTAACAAATAACCCCTTTCTCCCATTAGTAATAGCCATGAATTGGAATGTTCGACACTCACCAGCATTAACCAAACCCTAATCAACCAAATGCTGTCTGCCACCCCCTCCTTACAATGCTCACCTTTCTTTCCCCATGCCTGTGATAGCTTTCCTGAAAGACATTTGTGTGCAGAACTCCTGTCTTTGGTTCATTCTCCCTCACATCATTAATCAGTGTGCTATGCCTCATCCAAAAGTGGGAAAATAATCCAGTTTCCTGCTCCACGCCAGCCAGATGAACAGGTGCTAAGTAGGACTTACATAGGCACTTAAGCTGCTGCACCTGGAATCGTGGTGTGTTTAGGCGATCATGTCTTGGATCTCACAGAAGCTGTCTTTGTGTTGACTGGTTCTGTATGATGTCCTAATGCTTCTGCTGTCCAGGGCCAGGCCTTAAGTAGAACAACGCAGGAAAATAACTTCTGGCCTAGGTTCTTCAGGAGTTTATCAGTTTGCTAGGAGAACCTATGATCTGAAAGGGACTGAGGGGATGAGGAGACTTTCTCTATTAGGTAGCTTTTAAGAAAGAAAAATAATCAAACAAATAGGCTCAAGGCATCTGCACGTACACACAGTTAATCACACCTTGCCTGCATTGTTACCAAGGGATTTCTTGTGTGGGGGTGGTCCTTGTAGGAGCTTTCAGGCACCAGGAGCTCCCAAGTGGCATGCTCACCTCCTTGAGACAGGCAACATGTTGCCAAGAAAAGAAACATCTTCATACTCTGCAGATGTGGCTTTTCATATTAGTGCTGCCACTTCCTATGTGTCTCTGAGAGTTGCTTAGCCTCACAGCCCATTTCCTCATTTGTAAAATAGGAATGATAATAATAGTGACTTCATAGAGAGAAAGGAAATGAGGAATGTGAAGGATCAAGCACAATGCCTGGCATAGGACAGGCACTCAGTAACCATCGTCTTCCCAGGTTCCCTGCCTCCCGGTTCACCTGCATAAACATATTTCAGGCACTCTGGGTAGGGTTTTATCTGGACCCTGTGACCACCTAGGGAGGGCCCTGCCCTGAACCCCAGTGCCCCATGGGTGACAGACTGTGTGTCTTGTCTGTTTGTTTTCCTTTGGCCTGTTTTTTATTTTGGGTCTGTGTGATTTCCTGGCAAAAGCCCCATCAGTGGTGAGAAAATATGTGTGTTTGCTATTATATTTGAGGAGTGAGCAGCTTGTTCCTAGAGGTCCCCCAAACCCCGATATTGTTGCAAAATGTAGGTCAGCAATGTCCTCAGTGCAGCACAGCTCAGAGTAGAGTCCCAAGTCTGGACCAGCTTGGATTCTGTATTTTTGGTGATGAAAACGGATAGAATTCACTCTAGTGACATTTTTCAGTTTTTTAACGTTTGGCTTTGGCATCGATGACCTTTGTTTTCTTTTCCACTTAGTTCCTTTGGCTTCCCACTTCTTCCTGTCCAGTAAAATTTTAAAAAGCTTGCTTTTACTCCTATGTTTCTGTTTCTGTGGCCAGGACCACCATCCTCCCAATCACTAGTTCAGGAAAGATCCCAAATTAATCACAGATTGCTGCATTTTCCTCCCTGTCACATCCTGTTTCTCTCTAGCATCTTTTGGCTTGACTTCCTTAATACCAGTAAAAATCAGACACACAGCTGCATTGCATGTCTAGCGTCTTACCATGGGCCCTTCCTTGGCACCCTGTGCATTCTCTGTCCTAAGCCCCAGGCCTGCCAAGTTATAATTACTTGTTCTTATGTTTTTCTTTTCCACTAATCTGTGAACGCCTTTCAAGGACAGAGCCTATGCATTATTCATCTCTGCATCCCCAGTGTTTAATACAGTGTTTCAACAAAATGTTTCCTGAATGAATAAAAGAATGAGTAAAAAATCATGTGTTCCCAATTAGAAAGACTTTCTGTGTCATAGGGTAGACAAGGGTTTGAGGAGGCACTTTCTAGGACCATAAAATGAGACTCCCAATCCTATCTATCTCCATCAACCCTGGGCTCTAATGAGACTATGCCTATTTGAATTTTTCCAACTTTCAGCCAAAACACATTCAGTAATTGATTAGTCCCCTTTAGAGCTTGGCAGAGGATATTCTAAGTAAATATAGGTATGAGTGCTGCCCTGATGACCCAGGAATACCTACAACTTGACATGTCCAAAACTGGACTTATTATCTACCTCCAAAATTTTTTCTTTGTCCTCTGTTTCTTATTCCAGTGAGCTCTGTTACCTGAGCAGGACTGGAGAGGCATGCAAAGCCTCTCCTGGCTCCACCATGAAACTGTTCATTTGGTCACTGAGTTTTGCTGATTTATCTTCTGTAATGTTTCTTGTATCTGCACCCTCATCCTGCTCACTGTCTAGTTCCTGCCCTTCTCGCTTCTGATACAAACTTCAACACCAGGTGCACTGACTTCCCCAAACGGAGGTAATCACTTCTTATTTCAGGCCACAACTGTGCTGAGAGTAAAAATCTCTACTGATAAGATGTTTCATGTGTTTGTTTAAATATCTTTCTCTCTACTAGACCATTAACTGACAACAGGAATTATGTTCATTTAATAAATAAATAATACAGGGTTGAATTTTAGGATAATTTGAAATTAAATTATAAAAAGGAATTCTTAGATTTGTTTAACTCAGATTTGCCAATTGTTTATATTTTATTCCACTCAATTTCTCTGTCTCTTTTTTTCTTTCTTCCTCTTACATAGATGTTTTTTCTAGTTTGTGAACAAATTGTAGTCAATGTGCCCTTTTATTCATAAATAGTTCAGTGTGCATTTATTAAACAAGGATGCTCTCTTACATAACCATAGTGTAGCTATCACAAACTTGAAAATTAACATTGATGTAATATTATTCTCAAATCTATGGTCTATATTCACATTTGGTAACTGCTTCAATATAAGGTTCTTTAAAGTTATTATTTTCCCTGTTTAGGATCAAATCCAGAATCACACGTTGCATTTAGTTTTCATCTCTTTAGTCTTCTATCACTGGTATATTTCTTCAGCCTTGATTTTTTTTTTCTTTTTTTGAGACAGAGTCTCGCTCTGTAGCCCATGCTGGAGTGCAGTGGCACAATCATGGCTCACTGCAGCCTTGACCTTTCAGGCACAGGTGATCCTCCCACCTCAGCCTCCCGAGTAGCTGAGACTACAGGCATGTGCCACCACGTCCAGCTAATTTTTGTATTTTTTGTAAAGATGAGGATTTTCACCATGTTTTCTCGAACTCCTGAGCTTAGCCGATCAGCCCACCTCGGCCTCCCAAAGTGCTGAAATTATAGGTATGAGCCACCGTGTCCAGCCGACCTTGACTTTTTGGAAATTATAAGCAAAATATTATGTAGTATGTCCCTCCTTTGGGGTTTTCTGACAATTCCTTATTATTGGATTCAGGTTATGGATTTGGGGCAGGAATGCCACTGAAGTGATGTTGTGTCGTTCCGGATGGTAATGTCAAGTTGTCCTAATATTATTTGGTGACTTGGTTGAATTTGTGCCCTCCAAGTTTCTCAGTTACTAATTGTCCCTGTGTAAGTAATATGCAATTGTGATGAAATGTGTAAATCCTGACCAAACTTTCATCAGTAGTTTTAGCTTCCATTGATGATTTCCTAGCTCCATTATTCCTTTTATGTTAATTAGATGGTATTCTATTTCAGTAAAGTACTTCCTATTCTCTCACATTTACTCATTTCTGTAAGTATGGACTCATAGGTTCTTATTTATTCAGTAGGTATAGTTTGTGATTTATGCAGATGCTCAAATTGTCCCAGATTTGGCCATTGGAGACCCTGTCAAGTGGGTTCCCTTGCTTTTGAAATGTCCCCATGTTTCTTTCAGCACTTTTTTACTTTCTAGAATAACAAAATTTTCCAAACTTGTCTTGTACTTTTTCTCTCACATCCTCGAATTAGCCATTTCTTCACAGCTCTAGTTTTTTTGGTGAACAATAGTATTTAGAAGTCGATATGTAGGTGTTAAGTGTTCTTTTTGCTTCTAGGCCCTGTCAGTGGATGGAACTCTGGTTTACACACACACATACACACACACACACACACACACACACACACACACTTATTCCCATACCTCTTTATCTACCTGCCTGTCTATGACATTAAATACTATGGGTTTATATTGGTACCTTCAATTCCAACCCAACTTTTCTGTGTTTGCATTTACTTTGAATATACTGTGAAGATCTTGTGGCTATCTGAAATATTTGTGTTCAAGAACATTTTTATGGTAATGAAAAGCCTACAAGTTCTATATATTTTCATTAAAAGAACTTTTTAATGTAGTTCTTGTATATACATAGGTGTCTGAAATAATTATTCAATTAAAATCCCGCTCATATATTTCTATGAAGGAAGTCAATGTTTTATTAAATTTTTATCTTGCTTTAAAAGATAGCCTCAAGAGGGAGATCTGGGTATTGCCGCAGCTCTTTCATTAATGCAGACAAGAGAGTTTTGAAATAGCTGCCAAGCTATTGGCAGCTGTTAACAGGTTTGGATGCTCCTCCAATAACATCATGTGTGTTCCTCTATTTTCAAACATATTCCACCACATTTCAGTTGTCATTTTATATGTCTGGCTCTCCTGTGACATCATGAAACCCTTAATTGTACTTTTTACTTTGATACTTTATCACAGGCCTCAATAAATGTTTTTGAAGGAATGAAGGATGGGTGACTAACTGATGAAATGAATGACCTTCTCTGTCTCTAGCATCTGTTTAACTCACTCATTTTAAAGCCTGATCTCAGGCTGGGAAGCTGTGAGATAGGAACGAAGGGGAATATACATGCATTTCTGCAATAGGATCTGTGTGGCAACAGATAGATTATAAGCTATGACATATATTGAGAACCTGCTAGGTGCTAGATGGCTACATTATGTATTTATCTTATTTAAGCCTTACAACAACTCAGTGATGAAGGAAATAGTAATCTCATTTTCAGATGCACATTTCAGAAAAGCTAAATAACTTTCTGAGAAAATTATGGAACTAGAATCCAAACTCTGGCTAGTTTAACTTTAAAACTTAAATTTCATTTTGCTATGTGATGGTGCACATCAGAAATAAGATGATGTCAGAGCTGTGAGGTAACACAGCCAAAAAGTTAGCTAATAGGTGACATTCTCTAGAGGGACATCACCAAAATGAGTGAACTTATCAAGTAAATGCAATGGTGAATATAAATGTAGTTTATTGTATTGGGGAGGAAGTGTGACATTTCTGGGGGGACAACAGACTTTATATGGGCTAATTGAATAGATAATATTTCAGATACTATCAAGAAAAATGAACTTGGCTGGGCATGGTGACTCATGCCTGTAATCTCAGGACTTTGGGAGGCCGAGGCAGGCAGATCACCTGAGGTCAGGAGTTCAAGACCAGCCTGGCCAATGTGGTGAAACCCCATCTCTACTAAAAATACAAAAAAATTAGCCAGGCGTGGTGGCCGGCACCTGTAATCCCAGCTACTTGGGAGGCTGAGGCAGGAGAATTGCTTGAACCCGGGAGGCGGAGGTTGCAGTGAGCTGAGATCGTGCCATTGCACTCCACCTGGGTGACAGAGTGAGACTCTGTCTCAAAAAGAAAAAAAAGATGAACTTTTGTAAAATGAGATGAGGAAACCGAGGCCTAGAAAGAAAAAGTTATCTAAAGTCACGCAGCAAGTTGATGTTGGAACTAGGACTTGAAACCAGGTCTTTGTGTTCTGTCTCTTATTACTCTACCTCACTGCTTTCTTTTATGTTATTTCATTTTTTCATAGTCTGCCTACCTTTTTCATTTGCTTTAATTCAATAGCAAAATGCTCATTGAGAACTTTGTATCAATCATTGTGCCAGGCACTGGAGAAACAAAGGCAGGAGCACAAAATTTGAGGTTAGCAAAGCACTTGTCTCTTGGTAAACAATAGACGGACTCCTCACAGAGTGCAGACAGAGGTCAGGATATGCCAGCCCATGAATATGGCCCTGTGTGTTTTGTGGGCCTTGTTACTGTGCATATGTACTGAGGCTCAGTGTCACATTCTGCATTGCCCCCTGATAAACAACACACAGAAAATGGATGAGAATGACTATGAAGAGGGAGAAAATGTCCAGATGTTAGTAGCTCATAATGTTTTAATTTAGAGTAGTGCTTTTGCCCAACACCATCACCAAAGGTTTGTCTTTGGTTTATTTGTGTTATCACAACAGTGACGACGGAGTTAAATGCAGCCTTTGAAAGGAGGATTTTTGCTTGTTTCATTTACATTCTACTGTTCTTTCATGAAACATTTCTAAATATCCATGGGGCCCAATTCTTACAAAAATAAATCAGATAAACCTAGGGTTCTTGCCAAGTCAAATATCTACAGTTTCTGGCAATTATGTAATTTCCAACTCTGCTGCAGTGACTATTGCTGATAAGTCAATTGTCATAAAGAGAAATATTCCAGACCAATCTTTATTAGTGTGTCCTTCACTGATATATGCAATGTCTTTTTTTAAAAAAGCAGAGTTATAACTTTTTTGGGGGGTCTCTAGTGAATGGCTTCTCATCATAACAATTTATATCTGGATAATGTTATTGTAAAACATGAAAATGGTAAATTAAAACCAATGAAATTAGGTTCTGCTGTTATTAATAAAAATGGCTCTGGTTTTCACCATTTTGTTTTGATGGCACTGTCATATAATGCAGCTGTGCAGTAGTGTCTTTCTGGCATTGCAGTTTGATTTGGCCCAGACAAAAGCAATATTTAGGAAGTTACTCTGTAGAGCTTCTCCGGGAAGAAGGAACTTGAGAATCACAAGCTAATTTAAATCGTTCTTTAAAGTTGAGGTTAAATGTATTATTGATTAGAAAGAGCTTTTATGGGGAGAGGAACTCTGCTATTCCTTACGAGTGGTATAAAATAAACAAACTGAATATACCAGGTCCTATTTTTTTTTCAGAGTCACATATCTGTTTGGTGCAAATATATATCACTAAAGATGTTTATATGAAAAAACATTACTTTTAAATCATAATTTCTTGCCCATGCTTTGAGAAAGATCCCTTGAGACTGACTTTCTGTAGCTGGAGCTCACAGTGGTAAATGCTTGCTTTTATTGGGGTCAACATGGTTTGTGCAATATTTCACTCACATTATCTCATTTATATCCTCCTACAATAGCCCTAAGAGGTAGGTAGGGTTTAATTTTATAGATGAGGAAGCTGTCATTCACACTACCCTTGCCCAAGGTTCCTTTGAGTAATTCTAGTAAGTAGCAGCCCTGGGACTCAACTGCAGTTTCTGACTCTGGACCACATCCTTCCCCAGTACTGTGCTTAAGAGGCAGGTAGTCCTTTTAAGATGCAAAACCATATGCATCTTAAAATGACTACCTGCCCCTTAAGCACAGTTCTTTGATTTCTCTGAAGAGAAAGTAGCTTGACAGCACCATCTTAGTTTAGTTGCTTCCCTCTTAGAGCACAGAGTGATCACCAAGATAAACATTCTTTTCCACCTCGCACTCACATGAAGGAAGGAGAATACAGGGAGGTGGACATCTATGTCAGTGGAAAGCCCAGACTTTTAGCCTCTTGCAGAACAGACTTGATCTACAAATTGTCATTACAAGAATCCTGCTGTTGGAAACACAGCTTTTCAATTTCTTGAAGATCTTCCAAGCATTGTTCTTTATGGAAAAAATGCCCTTTTTTGCCAGTATCAGTGAAAAACACAAGCAAAAAGAATGAAGCTTATTCTTAGTGGCTAAGAGTTATTTATTTCAGATCTCTGCTTCTTAGGGTATACTATAGAGTTAGTTAAATGGAAACTTCCAGCTACAGTATGTTTGGAGACAATCAGTCTAGATAGATAAGAAAATTTCAACAGAGAGGCCGGACTGGGTGAAGAGGACTGGAAACAAGCTTTCCGCAGGCTCTTAAGGCAAGTGATAGAGGTATGGTATTACAAAAGATGGGGCTAAAAGAAAATATGAGAAACACACAAAAGGGTATCATCGGCTTTGCAAAGAAATGCAACATATACATATATTTGTGTTTACGTATGTATGTGTGTATATACACAAATAGTTTTTGAAAGTAAAGGCTATTTAAATTGCAAAAATTAGAATGCAGAGAGAATGATTCCTATTTTTGTTTTGCATTTAATTGGCATTGATTTCAGACTGTTGGACAATGGTGCTCATCCTCACTTTGTGCAAGCAGGACAGTTGCAGGGTGAACTTGATGTATAATTAATCAGTTTGACTCTTAAGCTCTTTTTGTGACTGAACAGCAGGAGCCAAGCATGCTCCTATTTACTTGTCAGTTTTTCTGCTAGACTATGAAACCACCTTGCTGGAGTTTTATAGTGAGATATGTCTCACTGATCTCTGTCCTTGGTTCCTAGTGTGGTGCTTGACACATAGTACAACTCAGAAGAGGTTTGTTGAAATATCTTCAGACTTTAAGAGGGGACATTTCTACTGGGACAGTTTTGGTCAACCTTGGCCCCCATCTTATTCTACCTAATAGCAGCATTTGACACAGATGTTCACTTCTTCTTTGAGTCACTTTTCTTTGCTTGGCTTGCTGGCCACTTGCTCTTGGTTCCCCCCTAAATCACTGGCTGTTCTTGTTGCATCTTCTATCCATAACCCTCTACCTCATCTGTGGCTTTGAAAGATGCAATAATCTGTCCACCAACTTCTCTCTTTCTATAGTCATTCCTTGTGTGCATATATGGCACTGGCTCTAAATGTCATCGATACTTCTTCAGACCCGAACTCGCTCTTTAACTCCAGACTCAGAAACCCAACTTCCTATACAATATTTACACATGAATGTTGAATTGGCATCCCCAATTGAACAAACTGAAAATAGACTTTTTTTGATATCTAGCACCATCTCTACCTCCAAATCAGCATCTTCTCCAATATTCCTTATTTCAGTAAGTGACACTTCTATTCACCCAGTCTGTCAAGTCAAAAACCTTGAAGTCAGCCTCCCCACCTGATTTCTTTCACATAAATTCATCCACTAGTTATGTCAACTCTACTTTTGGAATATATCCAGAATCCCACCAATACTGTCTTTTCTCTATTGCTATTTTCTTACTTTAGTCCACCATTATCTCTTAGTTAAGCTTAATGTAATAACTACCCTATATGCTCTCACTAATTCTTAATTCAGCTTGCTCTCCATCACTTATTCTCTTCCTCGTGTAGCAACCAGAGTGATCCTTGTAAAATATAAATGATGCTATGTCATTTCTCATCCCTCAGCCCTTCAATGAATGATCCTCATACTTGGAGTGAAAATGGGCTTGCCACCTTCTGCATAATCTGGCTACCTCCTGGATGCCACTCACCTCCTATTTTCCTTATTTCTCACTGCAAAGAATGTCTCTATCTAAAGATCTTGTTTCTGCTGGTTTCCTTTTGCTGGAAAGTCATATTCCTAGAGTCTCTTCAACTCTTTTCCATTTTATTCACTGTGCAGCCATACAGCTGGGTCTGCTCTCAGAGTGGGAGAGGATTTCTGGGCTCCCACATATTTCATTAGGATTGCTTTGGAAATGAGGGCGCTTAGATTCCCTGCTGCTCTTGTTTTATTTGGGACTGTGCAACAAGGATAGGGACAGGAAGAGGCCTGCAAAGGCAATTAACATGGAGCATATACAGCTAATTTTACAAGCCTGGCATCTCTTTAAGTGTCCTCCCTGGGAGTGTTTCCCTCTGAATTAGAAAGCTCTAGTCTTAGCTTGATGAACTGGTTTCTGGTAAATTCAGTTGTTCTAGCCCCTGCTGGAACTAGAGTGATGGATATTCAGAGCAGAGAATGTGGCTTTTAAAAATGACATCACGAATAGGGTTGCTAGATTGAGTAAATAAAAATACATGATAGCCAGTTAAATTTGGTACTTCAGATAAAAAATGGATAATTTCTTAGTACAAATATGTTCCAAATATTACATAGATCTTCTAAAAAATTGCAAAGGACACATTTATAATTTTAAAAATATTGATTATCTGAAATTCAAATGTGATTGGACATACTTTATTTTATCTGGCAACCCTAATCATGAATAATTAAAAGTTGATATTGCTGTGTTGTTCAAAGGCAATAATTTGATTACTAATTACGTTCACTGAAATCAATAGATATATTAGTTATTTGTCCTCTTTTTTAGGAGAATTGCATCAATAGAATAAAAATATGTATTTTATCTTTTATATTGTGGAAAAATGAGAATATTCATATAGACATAGATATTTGTTATCTATATGGTAATTTGCTATACATGTTTAGAACATTTGTTTTTATTTAATGCATGATTGAAGACTGATGCCTAAATATGAAATTCTTTATTTTATTAAACTAATATACATAATAAACATAGTAGATTGGGTAAGCTGGGGAATTTGATAAATAAAACTATTTCCTGATTATATAAATGATATATGTTTTTTATAGAACATTTAGAAAATACATAATAATATTTTAAAAATAAGCCTATAATGTTTTTTATCTGTTTTTTTTGTGGAAAAACTTTTAAAAATAGGTTGGGATTATGTCATAATGTAATTTTATTGCCTTTAGAAATTTATCATGACAACATGTATCCATTTTATTTCATTAAAAGCATTTATGAAACATTTTAATAAAGATATAATATTCTTTTTCCTTTTTGTTTTGTTTTGTATTTTCCTGTTCTAATGTTAAAATGAGGATATTGGTACATAATTGTTTGAATCACTGGGTATTTTCTTTGGATTTATTTCTGGAAGCGCAGTTACCTGATCGAAAGATCAAAGTATCTTTAAGACATGAGCTGCTTGTTGCCAGTCTTGTGGAAGCCTATGTACTCTATGCTTTATGTTTCCGTCTTCTGGCCACAGGGACCCCCCGCTAGTCTTTTTTGCCCTCCCTGCCTCTACTCACTTCTTCCCCTTGGGATAGATCTGACTTATCTGATGGATAAGATTGAAAGCAGGAAGTATGAGTTAATTCCTTCTAAATTCTGTTTCTTTCAGATCTAACTATCCATCAGAAGGCACTTTTGCCATGTGGTTAGCTTACCAGGGTAGACTCTGCCTGGCTGGGCATGCCTGCAGTTGTTCATTCTGCTAATGAGTATGTTGAAAATTGAAGACAATATTAAGGAGCTCATTGTGACTTCATTTAATTTATACCCTCCTATCTAGTGATTTTAAGTAATACATCTGATATCTGGTCTTTACCTTTCTGACATTCATGTTTAATTCTTAACTAGTTCCAAACTCAAATTATCTCAAGGTAAAACCGGCAATACAAGCTCACTGTCCAAGAATAGTTAGAAGGACTGGCATTTAGAAGACTAGCTAGAAGGACTGGCATTTAGAGACCAAATACCATGAGGAGAGTGAAATTTTGGGTACTGCCAGCATTGCCTTAAGGCATTACAGCTTTTGTTGTGTAGATCTTGCAGTCTTTGACCTTTCATCTTGGCAGTTTGGATGGTGTGTAATGAGGTTGTGCAGCTGGGATTGTTAATTAGCATGGGTCATACAAGTTTTGGTAAATATGAATTGTGTGGTCCTCTACGTCTTACTTTGATCTTATTTACAAAGGTATGGTTTGGGTGAGATGAAATTCCAGCTTGCTAGGAAAAGAGTCTCTCAGTTCCTGCTAAAGGTCATTTTAAAATCACTGTATAGGCTTTTAAAGTATTTTCTGATAAAAGCCTTTTTCCTCCTCTCTACAGGCGAATTTTTTAGTATGGACAGCAGGCCAAGAGTGAACACTTCAAAGATAGCTTTGGTCTGGGAGAAGTAGACAGCACCAGAAGACGAGTTTCATCAGCTCAATCCTGCAGAAGTCTAGAGACAAAACACATTTTGCATGAATTTTTCACTTCCCAGCTCTTTGCTTCGTCTTCTTAGTAGACACCATTTTTAGCACTCCTAACTCTGGTGCTCCATCTTAGATTTGTAGACAATTCTAATGTCTGAACTGTGAGAAAGAAATTTATGTGTTTCAACTTCATTCCCAGGGCACATTGAGTTTTTGGAGGATTCTGAAGCTTAAAGGAAACAACAGAAAGTTATGATTATAAAATTAAGCATGAAAGTGAATATTAAGAATGAGAAACAAAATCACAACAGATTTTCAGGACCTTGGAGATCCAGATCTCTTTTTCTGAAGCCTCCTTGCCAATTTACCAGAAGTGCTTAACTTGAAATACTTCCTGACTGCTGTAGGAAATATTCCAGATTTCAAGCTCTTGCTTCTCCTTCCCTCTCAGAACACTCTGTGTCTCCAGAGCTCATGATGTCAGGCCCCGATGCTTACACTTAATTAATCTCCATCAGTCTACCTCTGCCTTCTTTGGAGCCTGTCCTTCCAGGCCCCATTAGTTATCTGAGAGAACACCCCCCTCTTCTGAAGGGATGGTAACACTCTTTAGGGAGGTGACTGTCCCCACTCAGAAAATTCTGAGATTCCTCATCAAAAGCTTGGTCTAACACAAAACAAAGGTGCTCCATTCTCCAGAACTTATTCTGTTTTTTTGGGCTGAGTTGTATCCTCTCAAAATTCATATGTGGAAACTCTAACCCTCAGTACCCCAGAGCAAGACTGTGTTTGGAGATAGGGCCTTTAAAAAGGTAATTAATGTTAATTATGGTAATTAGGGGTGGTCCCTATTCTAATATGACTTTGGTCTTTGGAAGAGATTAGGACACAGTCAGACACAGAGGGAAGACCATGTGGAGATATAGCAAGAAGAGGGTTATCTGCAAGCTAAAGGGAGAGGTCTCAGAGGAAACCAACCCTACTGATATCTTGATCTCTAGCTTCCAGCCTCTAGAATTGTGAGAGAATAAATTTCTGTGGTTTAAGACACCCAGTCTGTGACAATTTGTTATGGCAGCCCTAGCACATCAATATACTTGGATAGAGGCAGAAGGAGGGGTCATTGCCTTATGATACGATTGCATCCTAAATTGAGCAGCTTCTAAGATTACAAGAATAAGGGAAGCAAGGGTTTATTCTGAGTGTCAGGAACCCATGGCCCCTGTGTCTCGAGGAGCTGTTTTGAAGTGCTCGGTCAATTCCATGTGAGCAGCTCCCAGTGGCAGCTCCTTGTCCTCAGTCTTGCACTTCGCTGACTTGCATTCCAGTCGGCTGCAAACTCATTATAACCATACCTTCTGCTGACTTTTCAGATCTCAGCCCTGGTAGGGGTAACCACTCACTACAGGCGGTGACTGTTTTCTAACTGTGCCGCCTACTGATCCCTTCTCCGTAAATTCATGCTTAATCACCTGCTACTCAGTGAAATGCTGAATTGTTCAAATAAACATTGCTGGGAAAGCTAAGATCAACAATTTAGGCCTGTGTGTTAGCAGCCACCTCCAAAAGAGAGCAGGGAGGCCCAGGCTTCTGGTCTTAGCTCTGCTGTCGCCATCTCTGGTTAGTCACTGCTTCCCCACACCCTTCACCCCCATTCTCCAGTGGGTTTGGCACTTCATCTTTGAGATTCCCATAAATTAATTCCGGGCTTCATCCTAACCTGCTACTTACCACACTGTATTGTGAATGTTTATTCAAAAGTTTCCTTCACTAGACTGCCAGTTTCTTTAACTTATGGGCTGTTCCAATTCATCTCTACATCAGTGGGGGCAATCACAGTGCCTGTCACAGAGCAGGTGCCAAAAATTGAGCCTCAAGATAGCTCTTCATTTGAAAAAAAAAAAGTGATGTTTACATAGCATTGACCAAGAGCATATTGTCACAGGCTTTGCCCTGTGTTTTTCCTTTAGGTCATTTCTATTCAACAAACTTGTGTTGAGTACATACCAGGTGCCAGGTGCTGTGTCAAGTTTCAGGGATAAGTTGATGAAACTGACTCAATCACTGATTGCCCCCAGGAACTTACGGTCTACCAGGAAGAGAAGACAAGTGCCCACATAACTGTGACACAGTGGGTGCTGTGTCCATCATAAGAGGAGTAGGAAGAAAGCAAAGCACTGTGCTCTGAGAGTCCAAAAGTGAGAAGGCAAGAATGAGGTTTATAAAGGGTGGCAAGAGAAAGGCTTCCTAGAGAATTTGCCATTTGGATGAATGAGTGGGAGATAAGATATATTAGTTTGCCAGGGCTGTCATAACAAAGTACCACAAATTGAGTATCTAATAAAACCAGAAATTTATTTTCTCATTGTTCTGGAGGCTGGAAACCTGACATAAAGGCATCAGAAGGGTTAGCTCCTTTGGGGGCTGGGAGGGATAATCTGTTCTATGCTCTTGCCTAGCCTTTGGTGGTTTGCTGGCAGCCTTCGACATTTCTTGGCTTGTAGAAGCATTATCTCAACCTCTGCTTTTATCTTCATATGGCGTTCTCTCTGTGTGCATGTCTCTGTGTCTAAATTCCCCTTTTAATAAGGATAACAGTCATATTGAACTAGAGGCTTACCTTACTTCAGTACGACCTTATCTTAACTAATAACATCTGCAATTACCCTAGTTCCAAATGAGGTCACATTGTGAGGTAGTGGGGGTTAGAACTTCACTATATGCATTTTGGGAGGGACACAATTCAACCCGTAACAAGTAGGTTTTCAGGAAGCAAAGACTAGAAGAGGAGCATAAGAAGAAAAGCTCTCCAGGAAGCAAGTACTATGTATACTTTCTGCTTCCAATAAGCAAGCTTCTGAATTACTCAATCTCTGACCATTCCCTTTACTACCCCTCTCTCAACATTTTACTTATTTAGTTCCCTCTGTCAAGAATGTTGTCCTTTATCCTTGCCTCCTCCTCCTTATCCCAGAACTTCCTGTTAAATCCTGTCTGTGACACTAAGAGGTCCACACTGTGACACTAAAAGATACTATTTTCTGTACAATCCAGTTTCCATACTTTAGAGAACTCACTCTATTTCTTAGCCATGCTTCTCCATACAAGACACAAACTCATTAAAACCAAAAGGCATATGTACTTCCTAAGCACATATGCTACTATTTTCCGCACTTTATACCATACTTAATGTACCTAAGGCCCCAGAATTTTCCACCCAAAGGGTTCCATGTGTGTTTCTGATGCCTGCTTGGAGAGCCTTCCTAGGCCAGTCATTCGGAGGACATGGACCATGCTGACAGAAGCCACATTCCTAGAAGGTGCTGGTGGGAAGGGAAGAGAGGGAGCTTTCTTTAATTGTGCTGTTCTGCCATCTATCAGTGGTAGAGGAGTGGTTGCCTGTAAGAACCAGGTCAAACACCCACCACTTTCATTTTCTCAAAGAAGCCATTCCTGATCCTCTAGTCTCATTCAAATAATGCTAAGATCCTACCGCCTGCTTCACACATCAGACTTTGTTTCCACTCTCCTGGCCAAGCATTTCCTTGGAACCTCTCTAAAACCACTTACTACATTTTATCGTAGTCATATTTTTGTTTGTTATATTTCCCCTTTGTAATAGTTAATTTATGTATCAACTTGACTGGGCTAAATAATGCCCAGATAGATGGTAAAATATTATTTCAGGGTGTGTCTGTGAGAGTGTTTCTGGAAGAGATTAGCTTTTGAACTGGTTAGACTGAGTAAAGAAGATCCACCCTCACCAAGATGTATACTGGGGGTCTTTTCTTGAGGGTCTGAATAGACCAAAAAGGGGGAGGAAGGGTGAAATGGTTGTCTCTGCTTAAGCTAGAACACCCATCTTCTCTTGCCTTTGGACATCCCCTTTCCATAAAGTCATGCTTAGTCACCTGCTAATCAGTTAAATGCTGAATTGTTCAAATTGTTCAAATTGTGTGTTAGCAGTTAGCAGCTCCCAAAGGTCTTTGACTTCAGTCTTCAAGCCCTGGTCTTGGGTCTTCAGACTTGGACTGGGATTTATACCATTGGCTTCCCTGGTTCTCAGGCATTTGAGTTTGGACTGGAACTATGCCACGGATTGAGGGACTTCTCAGCCTCCACAATCACATAAGCCAATTCCTCATATAAATCTCTTTCTGTATGTCTGTAAATGTCCTATTGGCTCTATTTCTTTGGAGAATCCTAACTAATACATAGTCCTCCTTTTCTGTTCCTCTACTCACTATTATGTTTTTCCCTGAATTAACCTCTAAGCTACTTAGAAGTAGAGACTGTGCATTCTCATCTTTTTATGTAATGCAGCTAAATATGTAGCTACTAAGCAAATATTCTTTAAATACATTCAGAGATTCCTGAATGAAATATGAGATTTTGTAGACTCTGGAAGGAAGTTAGTGTAGTGGAAACAGCATGATTTGGAGTTGGACAGTCCTGGATTGTGCTCCATCATTTTGTATGAGGTAATGGGGCAGGGTCACTTATGAATTCTTTTAAAACTTAGTTTTCTCCTTTGTGGAATGACAGCCTCCAGTAGGAATAGCTTAATTAATCATGGTCATAGAAAGACAAAGCACAAAATAAGTGTGAGAAGCATCTTGCCCACCTGCTTAAGATTTACCTGAGGAAAACTTACATGTACAAGTGTTCAGACCCAGCTCCGAGATCTGAGTTAGGAAACCTAGGGTGGGTCTTATTAATCTGTGCTTTTGTAAATAGCACTAAGTGATTCTGCTATGAAACCAAATTTGGGAACTCCTGTTCTTTTTTTTTTCAATTTTTATTTTAAGTTCTAGAGTACATGTGCGGGATGTGCAGGTTTGTTACATGGGTAAACATGTGCCATGGTGGTTTGCTGTACAGATCATCCCATCACCTAGGTATTAAGCCCAGCATCTTTTAGCTATTCTTCCTGATGCTCTCCTTCCCCCATTCCTCTCCCACCACAACCGACAGGCCCTAGTGTGTGTTGTGGAACCACTATTCTTGACTATTCTCATTGATCTTAGAATCTCTCATTAGATAATGGGCATTGAGGATCTCTGGCAGAGACTTATAGTTTCTAATAAACACAAAATCCTTTAGTCACAGATTGCTTCATGAGGCTTATGTTTTATGAAACATACTTTGGAACTGCTATAGGAAATATTCCAAAATTCAATAAACTTATATTTGATAACTTTTCCACATTTAACTGTACTAAGCACAATAAAATAGGTAGATTCTTTACTGGGAACCAACCAGCAACAACAGGAAAAAAAACAAAAAAAAAAAACAAAGTTACATTAAAAAATTTATTGTACAACATAGTGAGTATAACAATGTACTCTATTCTTGAAAATTGCTATGAGAGTAGATTTTAAGTGTTTTCACCACAAAACATGAAAAATATGTCAGGCAGTCCATATGTTAATTAGCTCAATTTAGATATTCCACAATGTATATCTATTTCAAAACATGTTTTATATGATAAATATATACAATTTTTATATAATTTTAAAAACGAATAACACAAAAAGTAAAAATGGAAAAATCCGTAAGTTTCTCACTCATTTGAATTAAGATTTCTGGTTGTCTAGTAGACACAACTACTTGTCTAACTTATTGATTCCTTAATTTCAGCAAAATTTCTTGTCCTACTTCTACCCTAGATAATTCCTTCCAAAACAAAGTACAACACACACTAAGGAATAATGATTTCTTTTAGGTCAGTTACATCTCTTCTGATGGAGCTCCCCAAGACTGAAAACTTTGCATCAGCTTGAATTCCTCCTTCATCTTCAATATCCTAGTAAAGCACTCAGATTTAAATAAGAATTTCGATACCCAAATCAGCAATATCCAAGTAAGCACCCTGACAACTATTCCTTCATACATTTTTCAGGCACTGTCCCTTTTCCTCCGCTACCCATTCATACCTCTACCATCCACTTGCATTACCTATTGTTTGTGAACTAAACTGTGTCCCGCAAATTCATATTTTGAACTTCTAACCCGCAACGTAATTGTATATGGAGAGAGAGCCCTTAGGGAGGCAATTAAGATTAGATGAAGTTGCAAGGGTAGGGCCCCAAATCAATAGCACTTGTGTCCTTATAAGGAGGAAGAAACAACACGTCTCTCCCTTTCTGTCTGCACTTTTAAAAAAAATTATTATTGTACTTTAAGTTTTAGGGTACATGTGCACAATGTACAGGTTTGTTACATATGTATACATGTGCCATGTTGGTGTGCTGCACCTATTAACTCGTCATTTAGCATTAGGTATATCTCCTAATGCTATCCTTCCCCACTCCCCCCACCCCACAACAGTCCCCGGTGTGTGATGTTCCCTTTCCTGTGTCCATGTGTTCTCATTGTTCAATTCCCACCTATGAGTGATAACATTTGGTGTTTGGTTTTTTGTCCTTGCGATAGTTTGCTGAGAATGATGGTTTCCAGCTTCATCCATGTCCCTACAAAGGACATGAACTCATCATTTTGTATGGCTGCATAGTATTCCATGGTGTATATGTGCCACATTTTCTTAATCCAGTCTATCATTGTTGGACATTTGGCTTGGTTCCAGGTCTTTGCTATTGTGAATAGTGCCGCAATAAACATACGTGTGCATGTGTCTTTATAGCAGCATGATTTATAATCCTTTGGGTATATACCCAGTAATGGGATGGCTGGGTCAAATGGTATTTCTAGTTCTAGATCCCTGAGGAATCGCCCACCAACTTCCACAATGGTTGAACTAGTTTACAGTCCCACCAACAGTGTAAAAGTGTTCCTTTTTCTCCACATCCTCTCCAGTACCTGTTGTTGCCTGACTTTTTAATGATCACCATTCTAACTGGTGTGAGATGGTATCTCATTGTGGTTTTGATTTGCATTTCTCTGATGGCCAGTGATGATGAGCATTTTTTCATGTGTCTTTTGGCTGCATAAATGTCTTCTTTTGAGAAGTGTCTGTTCATATCCTTCGCCCACTTGTTGATGGGGTTGTTTGTTTTTTTTCTTGTAAATTTGTTTGAGTTCATTGTAGATTCTGGATATTAGCCCTTTGTCAGATGAGTGGGTTGCAAAAATTTTCTCCCATTCTGTAGGCTGCCTGTTCACTCTGATGGTGGTTTCTTTTGCTGTGCAGAAGCTCTTTAGTTTAATTAGATTCCATTTGTCAATTTTGGCTTTTGTTGCCATTGCTTTTGGTGTTTTAGACATGAAGTCCTTGCCCATGCCTATGTCCTGAATGGTAATGCCTAGGTTTTCTTCTAGGGTTTTTATGGTTTTAGGTCTAACATTTAAGTCTTTAATCCATCTTGAATTAATTTTTATATAAGGTGTAAGGAAGGGATCCAGTTTCAGCTTTCTACATATGGCTAGCCAGTTTCCCAGCACCATTTATTAAATAGGGAATCCTTTCCCCATTTCTTCTTTTTGTCAGGTTTGTCAAAGATCAGATAGTTGCAGATATGTGGCATTATTTCTCAGGGCTCTATTCTGTTCCATTGGTCTATATCTCTGTTTTGGTACCAGTACCATGCTGTTTTGGTTACTGTATCCTTGTAGTATAGTTTGAAGTCAGGTAGCGTGATGCCTCCAGCGTTGTTCTTTTGGCTTAGGATTGACTTGGCAATGTGGGCTCTTTTTTGGTTCCCTATGAACTTTAAAATAGTTTTTTCCAATTCTGTGAAGAAAGTCATTGGTAGCTTGATGGGGATGGCATTGAATCTATAAATTACCTTGGACAGTATGGCCATTTTCACCATATTGATTCTTCCTACCCATGAGCATGGAATGTTCTTCCATTTGTTTGTATCCTCTTTTATTTCATTGAGCAGTGGTTTGTAGTTCTCCTAGAAGAGGTCGTTCACATCCCTTGTAAGTTGGATTCCTAGGTATTTTATTCTCTTTGAAGCAATTGTGAATGGGAGTTCACTCATGATTTGGCTCTCTGTTTGTCTGTTATTGGTGTATATGAATGCTTGTGATTTTTGCACATTGATTTTGTATCCTGAGACTTTGCTGAAGTTGCTTATCAGCTTAAGGAGATTTTGGGCTGGGACGATGGTGTTTTCTAGGTATACAGTCATGTCATCTGCCAACAGGGACAATGAGTTTTTTAGCTCTATAGTCTCCCCAGGCTCGGCTGGATTCTCAGTGTCTCACAGATTCTGTCTGCACTTTTGCACAGAGGAAAGATGATGTGGGAACAAAGCAAGAAAGTGGTCATCTGCTAGCCAAGGAATGAGGCCTCACCAGAAACCCACCCGGCTGGCACCTTGATCATGGACTTCTTGCCTCCAAAATTTGAGAAGATACATTTCTGTGATTTAAGCCATCCATACTGGTATTTTGTTAGGCAGCACTAGCTGACTAATATACTATTTGTCACTGTGTGCTTGAAGGAAACAGCTCCCCTCTTTCCAGGCCATCCTGCACAGGTTTGCACAATCAGCACAGATATTATGTTAGTTTTCTATTGCTACATAACAATTTGCCATGAACCTAATGGCTTAAGCAATGCACGTTGATTATCTCATAGTTTCGTGGGTCAAGAAAGCAGGCACAGCTTAGCTATGTCCTTTGCCCATAGTCTCACAAGGATGCAATCAAGGTGTTAGCAGGAACTACAGTCACATCCGAGGTACAGAGTCCTTTTCTAAGCTCACATGACTATTGGCAGAATTCATTTCCTTGCAGCTGCAGAACTATGGTGGGTCTTTCAAGTTCAACAAGAGAATATCTGAAGCTAGTAGTCTCTTTTAAAGAGCTAATTTGATTAGGTCAGGCCCACCTATATACTATTCCTTTTGATTGATTCATAGTCAACTGATTAAGTCCCTTAATTACATATGCAAAAATTCTTACCAAACTCAATGGTAGGACATTATATAGGATGTATACAACAGGGATCTGGTAAGAATCTTAGAGTCCACTCTAGATTTTTGCCTACCATAGACATGATTTCCTTGATTACTGTTTAGCACTAAAGGCTATGCACAAAGTATGGATATGAAGTCCCTGCTGAACTCAAGCTTAAAACAGTATACAAATGAAAATACAGCAATGCACGCCAACATCAAATGCCAGAGGAGTGGTACAAATAGTCAGGGTGGCAGGAGTACTGAGAAGCTCTCTGTAACCAGACTAAGGTTTCTTGGAGAAAATTAATTATTAGCTGGTCCTTCGAAGATTAACTGAATCTAAACTATCAGAAGGGATACCTGTGTTGTCAGTGTATAATAACATTTATTTTACTTCATACTACTTTTCTTTATATTATAACATTTTTATTCAGTTGAATTAAATGTTGCTAAATATTCATTTACCATAACATTTTTTTATTGTTTGCCTACAATGTACCAGTCTCTATAATGCAGTCTTCTTAACCTGTTGTTTTATTTGGAAGGTTCCATTTGGAGAGTAAACAGCAAGGTAGAGGGATTAGTATATCAAGTTAGCCATTACCCAGTTAGCCATTAATTCACCAAGCAAGCTGGTCACTTTTTCTTTCCAGCTCATAATGACATTATTTGTAAGTTGAGTCTTCAAGATCGAGTAATTTATAACGTCCCTTTTTGACTTACTCCCTTACCTAGAATTTTTAGCATCCCAGGATAAGATAGGTTTCCTTTTAAAATGCATTTCTATAGTATTTGCACTTCCACTTCAGAACCCTCACCTAACTTATAATTACCTGTCAAAAGTTTGTCCTTGCTACATTTTAAAGTGTCTGTGGTCATGGCATGAATCTTATTCACCACTGGATTTCAGCACCTGGCCCAGTGCTTGATATGTAGTGGGTGTTTAGTAATTCTTTATTGACCAAATGAACAACAATTGATGACCCTGTCTCACGAATATGCTCTTATTTTCATATGTTTAGTCAACATTTTAAATAATCAGGCATTGATGAGGCATTTTCAACATTATGTGATTGAGACCAGTTTATAAACCCTACCTATCAGAATATTGTAAAAATATTGACTTTGTTTTTTTTCATGGGCTAAGGACAGCTCCTGGAAGCCCAAACTATAGAGTACACTGAAGCAGGCAGTCTTGGGGCCAACTGAAGTCTTCAAGGATGCTAATTCAGGATAGTCAGAGGAATCATATTATAAGAAGAACAGTGTCGTTGAGATAAACCGAGGTTGAATGCTAAAAGGCAGGATAAGTGACAAATTCAGGAGAAAGGTAAGGATAAAAATGGGGAAATGATGGTGAGTTTCACGGAAAGATGGAAGGCAGTAGAGAATCAGCTTCAAGGAAGGGATCCATGAGGGTGATTTAGAACTGAGATAGCGAACAACAAGAATGTGCTCGCTCTCCTGTTTTACATTGTACCAGATGTGTCTGCAGCTAGAAGGGAGACTGGGTTTTGTGATAGGGGAGATTTTATGTTCTAATTGGATTCCTTTTTTTTTTTTTTTTTGAGACGGAGTCTTGCTCTGTCGCCCAGGCTGGAGTGCAGTGGCGCGATCTCAGCTCACTGCAAGCTCTGCCTCCTGGGTTCACGCCATTCTCCTGCCTCAGCCTCCCAAGTAGCTGGGACTACAGGCGCCCGCCACCATGCCCAGCTAATTTTTTGTATTTCTTTAGTAGAGACGGGGTTTCACCGTGTTAGCCAGGATGGTCTTGATCTCCTGACGTCATGATCCACCCACCTCGGCCTCCCAAAGTGCTGGGATTACAGGCGTGAGCCACTGCACCCAGACTCTAAGTGGATTCCTTTTATGGATTTATAGGATAATATTCCCTGATATTTACAATGCTCAACTTAAAAAATGGGCCATAACCAGGTAATCCATTTATAATTCTGTTTTATTAAGAAACTAAAACTTTTCCCCATAGATCCAGTGCTAAGTGAGGGTTTGTTAGATTTCTCAAAATAATTCAAGAGCACTACTTAATATGTATTTTTCTGAGAATACTATAGAAATATTTATGTTTTTTGAGAAACCAAGCATATTTTATCTTTTCAAAGTGTTTTATAGGAAATAATTATAATATATGTATTAGGCGTACCAGTTTCTTTGTCATAAATAACTTAATATCTTCTGTAATTCACTTAGCACTGATTTGCTTGAAATTATGATTTTTTAAAATTTCTTCATCTTGTGGGAGTAATTGTGTTAATTTCTATTTTAAGCCTCTATTTGGTATTAAAATTAGGACAACTTGTTCAAGTCTTGTAGTTTTTATCTTGAATAAATATTGCTAAACTTTCATTGAACAACTTGGCTTAACTTCAGTTTTGGAAAGTCATCAAAATCTTTCCCTTCCTCTTTTATTCCATCAGATCCAAATTCATTTTTATTTTCCTCCTTTATGTATTATTTTGTTAGATATCTCTTTTCCCAGATATCAAGTTAAATCTTTTTTGTAATAGCTAATTTTAAATAGCACAAATACTATGCTTTCTTATTCAGGAGCATTGTATGTATGTGTAGTGTAAATTTGGTCCCATATTAAATTATGACCACACTCTTTCGGTTTTAGAACTGTGAAGGAGCTTTTGAAGTTATTCCAGCCACTTTAACTTACAGATAATGAAAAAGAAGTCCAGAAACTGTGTCCAACATTTCATGACAAGTTAAAGCTGAGACATATGCAGAACTCTAATGTCTTAATTCTCTGTTCAGTGACTTTTTTGATAAACTACACTACCTTTTGCCTCTAGCATTTGTTTTCTTTAGATTCTAGGCTGGACTTCTTTCCTATGCCCAAAGAAAAATCCTATATATAATTTTATGCAAATGTCATTATTTTAAAAATAGTCAACTAAATACCCCAGAGGGCTTAGCAGGCTTGTTAGGTGGAAAGTGACATAAGATCATGTATTCCCTCTCAAACTTTAAACAAGATAATTTGTAGTAATATTGTTTTATAAGGAGCAGCAGATATTAAGAAGGATTAAATAATTAGTCCAAGGATATTGAGACCATTAGCAGCACAGAACTTGTTTCTATAGCTACTCACCCTGAACATGTGAAGAAGATTTATGACCACATTGTTTATGCTCCTAGAAAAATAATATGAGCCTTAGCCATGTTAACTTGTAGTATATGAGAATGATGGAGCTGGAAAATGTAACCTTGTAGGTTTAGGTACTTCCACATGATGGAAGTTACTTAGATTTTAATTATTCATTCAACAAGCATCGACTGAATTCCTATGGTCAGGCAGACAAGGATGAAAGACATGATCCCTGCCCTCTAGATGCTCCTAATGTGAGGTGTGAAAGGAAGAGGTGATAGAAAGAAGGCTGGAGGGGAGAATCAAGAAATAACTGGTTCCTTTCGGAAATATTTGGAAGAGCAGCACTATCGGAGTGATTTTCCTCTCTCTTTGTGTTCCCATCCATCTGAGTTTATTGTTCCTGTGCCATTTCTCCCTTCGCTGCCCACTGTCCTTGTAGTTCCCTGATTACTCTCATCCTTGCCAACCTTGTTGTAGTTCTAAAACTATTTGTTATAATTGTTCCTTGGAAGAACTTGAGGTACTGTGCTAAGAACCTTCATGTTTTCCAAGGAAAGTGTTGTAAAAAATGCACATAAACAAGAGTTATTGTTTTAGACAAGTTCATCCGAGCCAAATCATCCATGCTACCAATTTCTGGCACAGCCCTATCACTAACCATCCATCTTATTTCTATCTGAGGCCCAAGCATATTTCTTACCTTATCCTATTTTCTTCTCTCCTCATTTTCTGACATTTTCGGTTCTTGCCAAATATGTTTTGATTAAAGGTCGCATAGGTTTCTACCTGGTCTGTGATGATGCCTTCTATCCAGCAGTGATTCTTGTTGAATACTGACACTTTACAGTGGGAGGTTGGTAACAATATATTTCCTGGTCTTTTTCTGAAAGGTTTTGCTGTTAATGCAACTGCTGCTCAGACCTGAATAACTGGTCAAAGCACGTGAGTCAATTTGTCCTCAGTGAAATGCAATTTTTTTTTTTTTTAATGATGGCAGTGGGGGATATGAGAGAAAGGCTGTGGGCCTTGGAGTTCAGAGCTAAGTAATGGCTGCAGTTTCATGTTCTCTCCCTTAGTTCATTGGGAAGTAAGCATAATAGCCCGCTTTTATGTGTGTTCTGGACACTTCAAAGCTGTTTACATGGATTAACACATTTAATCTTCATAGTAATACAAGAAGCAGATATTGTATTCCCATTTCACAGATGTGGAGACTGAGGCTTATTGAGTTTAAATTAAATGGCTGACTTTGTCACAACTATTAACTGTCAGTATAAGGCCTGAACCCTGTTCAGCCTGTCTTTGAGGCTTGAGCTCCTAATCACTGTGTTAAGTTTGGATCTTCCTTCATTTTAATGGAGTTCCCCTTTATTATTATTATTTTAAAATAAATGTTATGTTTTTCTCCACTCTTTCCATTCAAACCATAGGAGGCTTATTTAATGCACATTTCAAATGTACATCCTGTTAAAAGGATACCAGGTTACTTCACAAGAAAGAACACCTACTAACTTAATTTTAGACAGAACATTAAGCTATATGACCTCCAGAACTCCTTCCACCTATGACAGTCTGTGATTTCAGAGAGGGATTTTACTCTTTAGAGAAGCATTCTGACCAAAGACTACCAAAAGAATGGGACAACTGTTAGCCTGAAGGGTATAGGTTGTCTTAGGGTCTCGGAGAGTCTCACTCTATTAACAAAGTGAGAACTATGCTCTGATCCTGTAGGAACTAATACATTAGCTGCTACTCTTTGGACAATGTCAGAAGATCTGTGTCCAGGTCCCTGCTGTGCCCCTTACTAGCTGCATAACCTCAGATAAGAAATCTTACCTCTAAGAGCCTAATTTCCTTTTGTGTAAAATGAAAATAAAGGGACGTATCTCAGAATTGATAAAGTGTTAGTGAAAAACCTTGAGTACAATGTTTGCTGCATACCCTAGGTCTTGTCCTTCCCATCTTTAGAGTCAGGCCATTCACTTGGCTGTTTTTCTTAATCATGACTTAATATTTCAAGATGATGCTCATTTCTTAAAATTTCATTAATTTGAAAAGTCATGACCATTGCAGCTGAGATATGGTATATATTTTCACAAAGACAAATCTTTCTTAGTCAATGGACAGCTCATAGAATTTCAGAATGGTGAGTAATCTAAGAGATGACACAATCAAGTCCCATTATTTTTCAGCACAAAGAGGTTAAGTGGCTTTCCCAAGATTACACAGTAAATTGGTGATCAAGTCAAGGCTAGACTTTCTTTTTCCTAATCCCAGGCCCAGTGTTGTTGCTGCAAGATTCTAATAAACTCAAGATGAGGGTTAAAGTTAGAGGGAAGGCTATTTAAACTACATTATAAAAGATACATTTTATGTGTACTTTATTTTTTGTTTCCACCTAAATAATTGCTTATACATTAAATATTATTGGCAGTGAGGAATTAGACCAAAAAGCAAAACAAAACAAAAAAAAAAAATAGGTTATACCATCCAGCAAAGCTGGATTGAAGACATTTATTTGCTATATGACCTTGAAACTCTGTAAGTTTCAGTTTCCTTATCAGCAAAATGGGGATAATGATTATAGCTTTCTAGTTGTTACGAGGATTAAAGGAGATATTTTATGTAGTGGAGTGTCTAGTGCATGGTTGTCATATCAAAAATGTTAACTTATAATGATAAAATAAACTCAATGTGAACAATTTCAGCCATTACCACAACTATCCCATTCAAGGGTGGATTCATCCCAGTAGAACAAAAAAGCCTTGTTTTTAGTGAAAGTTAATAAATTTTAGGACCAAACAGACATACTGAGTTAGGCAAGTTGTCCATTGACTACAACCTGCCCACACTACTGACTGATTTAGGGAGCTCTCCTGAAGCACTCAGAGGGTACTCAGTAGTGAGCCAGTCCTTGAAGTTATAGTGCATGGGACTTTATTGAATATGACCAGAGAAGAGGTGCAGTTTTTCACCAGAAGGACCTTTATACTATAAAATATGAGTAGATACACTATGTGGTTAGTCTATGTGCTATGAAAGCTTAAAAGAAGAGATTAATGTCAAGTAATAGCAATACTCTAAATAACTGGATAAACCTAAAACCAGAGACAATTCCTGTCTGTCAATTCTCCTATTTAAAGGGCTATTGGCCGGGTGCAATGGTTCATTCCTGTAATCTCAGCACTTTAGGAGGTTGAGATGAGCGGATCACTTGAGTCCACAAGTTCAAGACCAGTCTGGGAAACATAATGAAACCCCATCTGTACAAAAAATACAAAAATTAGCTGGATGTGGTGGCATGCTCCTGTAGTCTCAGCTACCCGGGAGGCTGAGGTGGGAGAATCGCCTGAGCCAGGAAAGGTATAGACTGCAATGAGCCCTGACAGTGACACTGCACTCCAGCTTGCAGACAGAGTAAGACCCTGTCTCAAAAATAAATAAATAAATAAATAAATAAATAAATAAAATAGAGGCTTTTATGCTATCAAGACTAGAGACATGCAAGAGTGTCTACTGTTATTTTTAAGAAAGCCCATGGCTGAATGAGCTGAATGATATAATTGGGAGAAAAATTGTCTTTTTTGTGTTCCATATTTTACTTGAATAATTTAATATAGTAGCACATTTTTTTCGTATTAAGACTTTCTTGAATCAGAACACTGAAAGAAATATTTAAAATAATCCATTCCTCTTGAATGCTATTATATCTGGCATCTTAGAAATGTAGGTTTTGCTATTTCAATATGAAAATTTTCTTAAAGGTTGCAAATTTTATAGTTCCTCATATACCAAAAAATCTAGTTATCTTCTGAGCTAGATCTTCAGCAAATAATAGCGTCCTGACATCTGTTTGCAAATGCTTTCTTTTTGTTTACTTGTACTAACTGTGTTGGTGAGAATTGGGATTATTATTACAAAACAGTGGTTTGATTCTTTTAGTCTAGTGATAATGGAATCTAGAAGGAAGGGCAGATACACTGAAGGGAAAGTGAGGTCACTGTAAATTTTGTAAATTAATGCAATATGGAATTTTGGAATCAGTTCCCAGGGTGTAAGTTGATTAGACACCGTAAGAATACGTTATTGAAATATAATAATGGATATATAGAAATTGGCATGTATTTGATCATTTGTTCTTATTTTTTGACAATATTTTAAAAGAGTTCTTAAATATCATGTGCTAATAATATAATTTTTCAGGTCTGAGTAAAAATATTACAAATTTAGGAAAATTCTAAAAAGAGAGAAAGGAAGGAGGAGGAGGAGGAGGATTGGGAGAGGAGATGAAAAGAGAAAGATAGAAATGCATTAAGTGACACTTGGCCAATGTCCAGAGCAGCTACTCTAACTTTAGCTTTTATCCTAAAATCTCAAACTGAGAACAAAGAGCGTTTGACTGCTAACATCTCAGAAATAGGAAGGGATTTGAATCATTGACTCCTGAAGAAGGCATGCCATTCTGGGAGATGTCCCAGACCCTTTAAGAAGGGCCCATGTATCTGTTCATCTGTCAGCACACATTTCCCATGTCTGTCTTTCTGTTCAGAACAATGCTGTCCCTACTCGCCTGTTGTGTCTTAACTGTTTTTATTGCTGTGGAAATATTTCAGAATTTGGAATATTTCCACTTGCAATAGTGTCATCTTTAAGAAATTTGAACACTAAGGGTACATGTTATCTCCAGTTATGATGAGTTGATTCATTGCCGGATGCTAGTTAGCCAAAGATAGAAGCAATTTTTATGCAATTAATCATGTTTCCTGCAAACTCTATAGTAGTTTTCAAAAAAGGTACATTATATAAAACATTTCATCCTTTACTGTAAGCTTAATGTTTGCAGAGTGTCTCTTGCTTCTTGGAGGAAGACGTGGCATACGTTAAAAAAAATGTAAATCTGTTAGTCCAAGATTTTTACAAACGAAGTAGATGTTGCATGTGCAACCTAAAGGAAAATCACTTGACATTAGTAGAGAGATCTATTTAAGATTTGAGTATTTTTTGAATTGGAAAATAATCTCTAGTTATGCATTTTCTCTTATAAGTTTGGAGTTAGGGATAATAGACTGTGTCCTGCATGGTGGAATCTGTGAGTGCCATGGTTTGAGTGTGTCCCCTACATTTCATGTGCTGGAAACAAAATCCCCAAGGCAACAGTGTTGAAAGATGGGACCTTTAAGAGGTGATTAGGTCATCAGGAGTCTGCCTTCATGAATAGATTGATGCTGTTATCATGGGAGTGGGTTCCTGATAAAAGGATGACTTTGGCCCCCCTTCCTCTTTTGCTCACATGCTCTTATGCACTACCACCATGGGATGACACAGGAAGAAGGCCCTCACAAGCTATGGCCCTAGATCTCGGACTTCCAGTCTCCAGAACCATGAGCCAAATACACTTCTATTGTTTATAAATCACCCAATCTGTGGTCTTCTGCTATAGCAACAGCAAAATGGACTAAGACAATGATCCAGAACACAGCCAGGCTCTGAGCCTGACCAATGAGCCTCATTCTCCAACTGACCTTAGGTCAATCTTGTACAAGTTAATTTGGCATGATTTAGTTATCTTCTGTGAAGTGCGAAAATGAATTACATTCATTCAGGCACTATTTATGGGGTGTTCACCATGAGTCACAAATGATGTTAGGCATTGAGGATATAAAGATAAATAAGATAAATTCACACCCCTCAGGAGCACAGATGATAAGTGAAAATAAACAGGCCTCTAATGCATGGGCCCAGTTCAGACTTTCTTCTACTAGCTGAGTGATGCTGGATGAAGTACTCTGCCCTTTTGAGCCTGCTTCCTCATCTAAATATGGGAAGACACTGACGATACTTCTCTGAGAAAGTTGTCACTAAGGTCAAATAAGAATAGAATAATGTCTTATAAGTGATAGAGCACTAAACATATCAGAGTTATTTTAGGAAGAAAATATGACATAGTAGAATGGTCATAGGTTTGACTGAAGTTGGTTCAAATCTCAGCTCTACCACTTAAAAGTTACATGAAATTGAGTTGTTATGAAGATTAAATATAACAATTCATCCATACACCCATCCATCCATCCGCCATTCATCCATCCATCCATCCATCCATCCAACTAAGTCATTGAGTACCTACTGTATATAAGGTATTTTTCTAGAAGTCATCTCAGAGAATGCGTTCTCCAAAGGACCATACAGTAAATATTTTAGGATTTGTGGTCGACATACTTTCTGTTGCAACTACTCAACTCTGCTGTGTAGTATGAAAACAGCTATAGAAAATTTATAAACAAATAAGTTTGCTATTTCCTGATATAACTTTGTTTACAAAAACAGGTGATAGGCTAGATTTGGCCTGTGAGCTATAGTTTGTCCACCATGTCTGTTATAAATACTAAACATGGCCCTTAATCTCATGGTGGTTTTATTTTAGTAGACAGCATAGCAAAAGACAAGTAAACAAAAAAGTAAGATAATTGTAGATACCCTTTCTCTAACTATAAAAATGACTGTTGTACCTTCTGGTACATGACATAGGGTAGGAGCTTGGTGAATACTTACTGAGCTGATAAATGCAGATGTATTTGTTACTTTTTCTGTCGTCTCTGCAACTATATTTTCTTCTGTGTTGAGTACACATGTGGTTATCAACAAAAGACTTTGGGTGAATTTGTAAATTCTCATTTGGAAGTTGTGTGCCTTAACAAGATTCCAAGGCCAAACATACTGCTAAATGCTCATATCTTGGGGGCCATTTATTATTTTCTGAACTATTGAAGGAGTCAGTTGATGTTGATAGATTTCAAAGTGAACTCTGAGTTTGCATCAGTTCTGGGACTCTGTGAACAAGGTAAGGGCTAGCAGTCCTGAGCCTTTGAGAAGTACCCATGATGTCACCTGCAAAGGTTAAAAAAGTCTTAGGAGAAAAGCAAAGATGACTGTCCATTTTTCCAAACTTCTACTGAGGTCACTATATAAGGAAGAACTATCAAGCGGATTAAAATTATTTTTCAAACTGTGTGTTTGTAGCAGGGTATACTTTTGAACCTTCTATTGGTTTGAAAAGCTAGAGGAATAAGGTAACCATGGGATCTCAGATTTTATAACTGCCCCATTTTCCAACTGTGCTGGATCTCACGTGACTGTATAATTTAGCCTTTCCCTTTTGTTCCTCCTCCTCCCACTCAGAGGTACATGGGGATGGGGATACATAGGAACAGTCTCAGTTCTCTCCCACCTCACTGAAATCATAGAAAGTGGATAGAGACTCCTTTGGTGGATCACTAGAATTATACAGTTGTTTCATTGAGAATACTTAGATATCATTCATTCCAAAACTATTCATTTATAGATAAACAGTCTTCTAGGGAGGCTGATGATTACATTGGCTTTGGAGTTTGAAAATTGGAAGTTATCAAATGTTTAAAATGGAATTAATTTCAATTTGAAAATAAATGACTAGATTGCTTTTAATTTTTATAAATAACAATATTTTTAGGATTCAAACACAATCATACATTATATAAACCTACATATATATATATGTGTGTATATATATAGCCTACTATGCCTGGGCACATTTAACCCTCCCTATCTCCCTATGTGTTGTGTGCTATTAGTATTCCCATTTTGCAGATGATTTAACTGAAGAAAAAAGGTTATGAAACTTCCCTGAGAATAGAAAATAATAAATCTGTGGAGCTGGGTTTGAACTCAGGTATTTCTGCTTCTAGAAGAAGACCCACGTTCTAATTTTTTTAATATGTATCCACTAATGATTTATTCTTCATTTATTTTATCATATATTTTTTATTTTTCCATAAGTTTTTGGGGTACAGGTGGTATTTGGTTACATGAGTAAGTTCTTTAGTGGTGATTTGTGAGATTTTGGTGCACCCATCACCGAAGCAGTATACACTGAACCATATCTGTAGTCTTTTATCCCTTGCCCCCCTCCAATTCTTCCCTACAAGTTCCCAAAATCCATTGTATCATTCTCATGCCTTTGCATCCTCATAACTTAGCTCCCACATATCATTGCGAACATACAGTGTTTGGTTTTCCATTCCTGAGTTACTTCACTTAGAATAATAGTCTCCAGTCTCATACAGGTCACTGCAAATGCTGTTAATTCATTCCTTTTTATGGCTGCGTAGTATAATTTGAAAAGCTATTTTTTCTCCTTCAGGTCTAATGACAACATAGTGAAACAACAACTGGACCTTAGCAGGATTGATATTTAAATACAGAATTGCTGAAATATAAATGCAAAATCTGAATGTTAGTCTGTTTTGGGCAATGACAATGTACAGCTGTTAAATGTACAGCAAGATTTTTCTAGGCAACCCCTATTTTCTGGAACAGCTGGAACAGCCCCACTGATACCTGATTTATAGTTCAAGGAAATAAGTTTTGAAGGCTATGATTTGGCCACCTGCATCTAAATCTGTGTGATAATGAGTCACATCATGGATGCAATTCAGAGGTATTTGAAGAATTCATCTGTGACTTCTTGGCTGAGAGTTTCTCCAGAAGAGTACCAGGGAAAATTGCATGTTTTCCTCTACTTGGCTGATATCAGTACTTCTGAGATTAAGAAATTGTGAAAATCTAAGGATGGGAAGGTAAGTAAACAATGTCTGGACACAGGATGGTCCAAATTTGCATGATTACTATTTTTTTTTTCTAGAAAGAAGTAGAGTTACAGAATTGAATGAACTGAGAACAAATCTAAAGTCCTACCATAACCTTTGAGGGCCTCCTGATCTCACTCTGACTAGATTTTGACCTCTTTTCGGCCTCTCTCCCCAGTCTCCCTCCCCACTTTCTAACTGCACAGGCCCCTTGCTCTTATTCTCCTGCTCAGGCTTTGGCCATCCTTCCCTCTGTCCTATGGTCTCTGCCCCAGCAGGTCCACATGACTCACCCCCCACACTTCCTTCAGCTCTCTGTTCAAGTGTCACCCAGTTAGAGCAGACTTCCCTGACCACCATCCATAGGACTGGCACCCCACCCTAAGTCCCTCATTGTGCTTTTTTGTGCTTCATAGCCCTGTTATCATCTGACTTTTATCTTGTGCTTTGTTGTCTATTTCTGCAACTAAAGAGCAAGCTTAATGAGAACAGGGGCATTCTGTTTTGTTGTTCACTGATGTTGAATCTCCATACTAGAAAAGTGCCCAGGGACCTAATAAATATCTGTTGAAAGAATGAGTCAATGATGAAAGGAGAGCAATGTGAATGCATAGTATTTCCTTTTAGACTTGTTGAGGCTCTGTTGAGAACTTGAAGAGTGACCACTGGGTAGCCACAGCTGTCTTCACCAATCTCATGAAGTCACACTCTTTGCTGACCATACTGTGCCAGAGGGCTTGGCATGCTATTGTTCTTCTGAGTGGAGGACTTCAGGTTGTTTGTCTTAGTTCTGATTGTGCAAGGGAAATGAGCCTTTAAAAGACCTGGTGCCATCATATTTATCAGGGTGCTTTGGAGTCCTTACTCATTCACTCATTGATTTACCAAACATTTATGGAGCACTTACTGTGCTTCAAATGCTTAAGGGTCAGAGATGAATGTCTTGGGTTCCCTGCTTCCAAGGAATTGTCTAAGGTCTATCGAAGGAGGCAAGTGAAGAGAAAGTCACAATTCTGGATGATTAGCACTCTGTAAGGACAGGAAGTTGTGGAGCCTACAGGAGGTGTACCCAACCCAGCTTACAGGGAGTAGTGTGAAAGAACAGGCTTCCCAACAAGATAGAAAAACTTTGAAGGAAACTAAAGATTATTTAGGTGGAGGTGGTGGAAATCTTTCCAGAAAGAGAAAACAGGGTGTAAAACATCCAAGAGCTGAGAGAACTTGGCACAACTAAAACTGAAGTAGACTATTCTGCCTAGATAATAAAATACTCCAGATAGGAGAAGGAAGAGATGAAACTGGAGAAATAGTGCTTAATGCTGCAAGGAAAAATTAAGCTTATCAAAAGCAAATTCCAGAACTGCATGTATCTAGGCCTCTAGGTGGGTTTCCCAAGGAACCTTCAAGGGAACTGATTGGTTTGGCTGTGTCCCCACCCAAATCTCATCTTGAATTGTAGCTCCCATAATCCCCATGTGTCATGGGAAGGACCCAGTGGGAAGTAATTGAATTATGGGGGTGGGTTTTTCCCATGCTGTTCTTATGATACTGAATAGGTCTCATGAGATCTGATGGTTTTATAAAGGGCAGTTCCCCTGCACATACACACTCTCTTGCTTGTCACCATGTGAAGAAGGACGTTTTCTTCCCCTTCTGCCATAAGTTTCCTGAGGCCTACCCAGCTGTGCTGAAGTGTGAGTCAATTAAATCTCTTTCCATTATAAATTACCCAGTCTTGGGTATGTCTTTATTAGAAGCATAAGAACAGACTAATACAGTAAATTGGTACTGGGTAGTGGGGTGCTGCTGTAAAGATACCCAGAAATATGGAAGTGACTTTGGAACTAGGTAACAGGCAGAGGTTGGAACAGTTTGGAGGACTCAAAGAAGATAGAAAAATGTGAGAAAGTTTGGAACTTCCTAGGTATTTGGAGGACTCAGAAGACAGGAAGGTGTGGGAACGTTTGGAACTTCCTAGAGACTTGTTGAATGGCTTTGACCAAAATGTTGATAGTGATATGGATAATGAAGTCCAGCCTCAGGTGCTCTCAGATGAAGATGAGGAACTCGTTGGGAACTGGAGCAAAGGTGGCTCTTGTTATGCTTTAGCAAAGAGACTGGAGGCATTTTACCTTGCTGTAGAGATCTGTGGAACTTTGAACTTGAGAGAGATGATTTGGGGTATCTGGCAGAAGAAATTTCTAAGTGGCAAAGCATTCAAGAGGAAGCAGAGCATAAAAGTTTTGAAATTTTTCAGCCTGACAATGCGATAGTAAAGAAAAACCCATTTTCTGGGGAGAAATTCAAGCTGGCTGCGGAAATTTGCATAAGCAATGAGGAGCCAAATGTTAATCACCAAGACAATGGGGAAAATATCTTCAGGGCATGTCAGAGATCTTCACGCAGCTCCTCCCATCACAGGCTCAGAGGCCTAGGAGGAAAAAATGGTTCCCTGGGCCAGGCCCAGGGAACATGTGGTATTTGGTTTTCTTTTCCTATGTTAGTTTGCTAAGAATAATGGCCTGCAGCTTGAACCATGTCCCTGCAAAGGACATGATCTCATTTCATTTTATGGCTGCATAGTATTCCATGGTGTATATGTATCACCTTTTATTTATCCAGTCTACCATTGATGATCATTTAGGTTGATTTCATGTCTTTGCTATTGTGAGTAGTCCTGCAATGAACATACACATGCATGTATCTTTATAATAGAATGATTTCTATTTTTTTTGGGTATATATCCAGTAATGGGATTGCTGGGTCAAATGGTAGTTCTGTTTTTAGGTCTTTGAGGAATTGCTACACCATCTTCCACAATGGTTAAACTAGTTTAAATTCCCACCAACAGTCTAAAAGTGTTCCTTTTTCTCCACAACCTTGCCAGCATCTGTTGTTTTTTGACTTTTTAATAATAGCTTTTCTGACTGGTGTGAGATGGTATCTCATTGTGGTTTTGATTTCCATTTCTCTAACCATCAGTGATGTGGAGCTTTTTTTTTATATGTTTTTTGGCCACATATATGTCTTCTTTTGAGAAATGTCTGTTCATGTCCTTTTGCCCACTTTTTAATTTTTTTTGTAAATTTAATTTTCTTATAGATGCTGGATATTAGACCTTTGTCAGATGCATAGTTTGTGGAAATTTTCTCCCATTCTGTAGGTTATCTGGTTACTCTTTTGATGATTTCTTTTGCTGTGCAGAAGCTCTTTAATTTAATTATATCCCATTTGTCAATTTTGCTTTGGGCATCTTCGTTATGAAATCTTTGTCTATGCCTATGTCCTGAATGGTATTGCCCAGGTTTTTTTCTAGGCTTTTTATAGTTTTTGTTTTTACATTTAAGTCTTTAATCCATCTTGAGTTAGTTTTTGTATATGGTGTAAGGAAGGAGTCCAGTTTCAATTTTCTGATTATGGCTAGCCAGTTCTACCAGCAACATTTGTTAAATAGGGAACCCTTTCCCTGTTGCTTGTTTTTGTCAGGTTTGTTAAAGATCAGATGGTTGTAGGTGCATGATCTTATCTCTGGGTTCTCTATTCTTTTTCATTGGTCTATGTGTCTGTTCTTGTACCAGTACCATGCCATTTTGGTTACTGTAGCCTTGAAGTATAGTTTGAAGTTGGGTAGCAGGATGTCTCCACCTTTGTTTTTTTTTGCTTAAGATTGCCTTGGCTATTCAAGCTGTTTTTTGGTTCCATGTGAATTTTAAAATAGTTTCTAATTCTGTTTGAAGAATGTCAACGTTAGTTTAATGAGAATAGCGTAAAATCTATAAATTTTTTTGGGCAGTATAGCCATTTTAGTGATAATTGATTCTTCCTATCCATGAGCATGGAATGTTTTTCCATTCATTTGTGTTTATCTCTGACTTCTTTTTTTTTTTTTTGAGATGGAGTAGTATAAAATCTATAAATTGTTTTGGGCAGTATGGGCATTTTAATGATAATTGATTCTTCTTATCCATGAGCATGGAATGTTTTTCCATTCGTTTGTGTCATCTCTGACTTTTTTTTTTTTTTTTTTTTTTTTTGAGACAGAGTCTCGCACTGTTGCCGGGCTGGAGTGCAATGGCATGATCTCGGCTCACTGCAATCTCTGCCTCCCAGGTTCAAGCAATTCTCCTGCCTCAGCCTCCCGAGTAGCTGGGATTACAGGTGGCTGCCACCATGCCCAGCTAATTTTTTTTTTTGTATTTTTAGTAGAGACGGGGTTTCACTATGTCAGTCAAGCTGGTCTCGAACTCCTGACCTCGTGATCCACCCACCTTGGCCTCCCAAAGTGCTGGGATTACAGGCGTGAACCACCGTGCCCGGCCCTAAATCATCTCTGATTTCTTTGAGCAGTGGTTTGCAGTTCTTTGTGAAGAGGTCCTTCACTTCCCTTGTTAGCTGGATTCCTATGTATTTTATTCTCTTTGTGGCAATTGTGAATGAGAATTCATTTGTGATTTGGCCCTGGGCTTGCCTGTTGTTGTTGTATAGGAATGCTAGTGATTTTTTGCACATTGATTTTGTATCCTGAGACTTGGCTGAAGTTGCTTATCAGTTTAAGAAGCTTTTGGGCTGAGACAGTGGGGTTTTCTATATATGGGATCATGTCATATGCAAACAAAGGTAGTTTGACTTTCTCTCCTCCTATTTGAATATGCTTTATTTCTTTCTCTTGTCTGAATTTCCTGCCAGAACTTCCAATACTATGTTGAATAGGAGTGATGAGAAAGGGCAATCTTGTCTTATGCTGGTTTTCAGGAGGAATGCTTCCAACTTTTGCCCATTCAGTATGATATTGGCTGTGGGTTTGTCATATATGGCTCTTATTATTTTCAGGTATGTTTATAATATCTAGTTTATTGAGAATTTTTAACATAAAGGGAGGTTGAATTTTATCAAAGGCCTTTTATGCATCTATTGAGATAATCATGTGGTTTTTGTCTCTAGTTCTGTTTATGTGATGAATCACATTTATTGATTTGTTTATGTTGAACCAGCCTTGCATCCCAGGGATGAAGCCTATTCGATTGTGGTCATAACCTTTTTGATATGCTGCTGGATTCAGTTTGCTAGTATTTTGTTGAGGATTTTTGCATCACTGTTCATCAACGATATTGGCCTGAAGTTTTCTTTTTGTTGTTGTTGTTGTATCTCTGTCCAGTTTTGTTATTAGCATGATGCTGGCTTCATAGAATGAGGTAGAGAAGAGTCCCTTCTTTTCATTTTTTTAGAATGGTTTCAGTAGAAATGGTACCAGCTCTTCTTTGTACCTCTGGTAGAATTCAACTGTGAATCTGTATGGTCCTGGGCTTTTGTGTGGCTTTTTTTTTTTTTTTTTTTGGGGGGGGGTTGGTAGGCTTTTATTACTGCATCAATTTCAGAACTTGTTATTGGTCTATTCAGGGATTCAATTTCTTCCTGGTTCAATCTTGGGAGGGTATATGTGTCCAGGAAATTATCCATTTCATATATATATATATATATATATATATATATATATATATATATATATGTATATATATATATATATATATGTATATATATATATATATTTTTTTTTTTTTTTTTTTTTTGCTTATGTGCATAGAGGTGTTTATAGTATTCTCTGATGGTGGTTTGTATTTCCTTGGAGTCAGTGGTAATATCCCCCTTATCATTTCTAGTTGTGTTTATTTGAATATTTTCTCTTTTTTTCTTTATTTGTGTAGATAGCAGTGCATCTATCTTATTAATTTTTTCAAAAAACCAGCTCCTGTGTTCATTGACTTTTGAATGGTTTTGTTTGTGTCCCTATCTCCTTCAGTTCAGCTCTGATATTGGTTATTTCTTGTCTTATGCTAGCTTTGGGGTTTGTTTGCTCTTGGTTGTCTAGTTCTTTCAGTTGTGTTTTTAGGTCATTAACTTGATATCTTTCTAGCTTTTTGATATAGGCATTTAGTGCTATTAATTTGCCTCTTAACACTGTTTTAGCTGCATCCTACAGATTCTGGTACATTATATCTTTGTTCTCATTAGTTTCAAAGAACCTCTTGATTTCTGCCTTAATTTCATTATTTACCCAAAAATCTTTCAGGAGCAGATTGTTCAATTTCCATGTAGTTGTATGGTTTTGAGTAAATTTTTTAATCTTGAGTTCTAATTTGATTGCACTGTGGTCTGAGAGATTGTTTGTTATGAATTCAGTTCTTTTGCATTTGCTGAGGAGTGTTTTACTTCCAAATATGTGATCAATTTTAGAGTAAATGCTATGTGGTGATGAGAAGATTATATATTCTGGGTTTTTTTTTTTTTTTTTTTTGTAGTGGGGATGTGGTGTGGAGAGTTCTATAGATATCTATCAGGCCCACTTGATCGAGACCTGAGTTCTGATCTTGAAGATCTTTGTTAATTTTCTGTCATGATGATCTGTCTAATATTGTCAGTGGGATGTTAAATTCTCCCATTATTATTGTGTGGTTGTCTCAGTCTCTTTGAAAATCTCCAAGAATTTGCTTCATGAATCTGGGTGCTGCTGTATTGGATGCATATATATTTAGGATAGCTAGCTCTTCTTCTTGAATTGAACCTTTACCATTATATAATGCCCTTCTTTGTCTTTTTTGGTCTTTTTTGATCTAGGATTGCAACCCATGCTTTTTTCTATTTTCCATTTGCTTGGCAAATTTTTCTCCATGCCTTTATTTTGAGCCCATGTGTGTCTTTGCATGTGAGATGAGTCTCTTAAGACAGCATGCCAATGGGTCTTGGTTGTTTATCCAGCTTGATATTCTGTGTCTTTTAAATGGGGGCATTTAGCTTATTTATATTTAAGGTTAGTATTATTATGTGTGGATTTGGTCCTTTCATCATGAGGCTAGCTGTTCATTTTGCAGACTTGTTTATGTGGTTGCTTCATAATGTCTCTGCTCTGTGTACTTCAGTGTGTTTTTGCAGCTGCTGGTAATGGTTATTCCTCTCCACATTGAGTGCTTCCTCCAAGAGCTCTTGTAAGGCAAGTCTGGTGGTAAAAAATTCCCTCAGCATTTGCTTGTCAGAAAAAGATCTTATTTCTCCTTTGCTTATGAAGCTTAGTTTCTATGGATATGAATTCTGTGTTGGGAATTTTTTTCTTTAAGAATGATGAATATTGGCCTCGAGTCTCTTCTGGCTTGTAGAATTTCTGCTGTGGGGTCTGCTGCTAGTCTGATGGGCTTCCCTTTGTAGGTGACCTGGCCTTTCTCTCTGGCTGCCCTTAACATTTTTTATTTCATTTCGACTTTGTAGAATCTGATGATTATGTATTTTGGGGATGATCTTCTCATGGAGTATCTTACTGGGTTCTGCTTTTCCTAAATTTTAATGTTGGCCTGTCTTACTAGGTTGGTATAGTTTTCCTGGATGATATCCGGAAGTACGTTTTCCACGTTGGTTCCCTTCTCCCTCTCTTTCAGGTACCCCAATCAGTTTTAGATTCAGTCTCTTTACATAATCCCATATTTCTTGGAGGTTTTGTTCATTCATTTTCATTCTTTTTTTTCCTCTATTCTTGTCTGACTGTCTTATTTCAAAAAGATAGTCTTCAAGCTCTGAGATTCTTTCCTCCAGTTGGTCTATTCTGCTATTAATACTTGTGATTGCATTGTGAAGTTCTCGTAGTGGGTTTTTCAGCTCTATCAAAACAGTTATGTTCCTTTCTATATTGGCTATTTTTGCTGTCAGCTGCTGCATTGTTTTATCATGATTTTTAGCTTCCTTGCATTGGGTTACAACATGCTTGTTTAGCTTGGTGTGTATGATGGTTAATATTGAGTGCCAACTTGATGTGATTGAAGGATGCAAAGTATCCTTCCTGGGTGTGTCTGTGAGGGTGTTGCCAAAGAAGATTAACATTTGAGTCAGTGGACTGGGAAAGGCACACCCACCCTCAATATGGGTGGGCACAATCAAATCAGCTGCCAGCATGGCCCGAATAAAAAGCAGGCAGAAAAACGTGCAAAGACTAGACTGGCTGAATGTTCTGGCCTCCATCTTTCTCCCATGCTGGATGCTTCCTGCTCTTGAACATTGGACTCCCAAGTTCTTCAGCTTTTGGACTCTTGGATCTTCGGCCACAGACTGAAGGTTTCACTGTAGGCTGCGCTACTTTTGAGGTTTTGGGACTTGGACTGGCTTCCTTACTCGTCAGCTTGCAGATGGCCTATCATGGGATCTAATCTTGTGATCGTGTGAGTCAATACTCCATAATAAACTCCCCTTTATATATACATCTATCCTATTAGTTCTGTCCCCCTAGAGAACCCTAATACAGTGAAGTTCATTTTTATCTGCATTCTGAAGCCTGCTTCTGTCATTTCAGCCATCTCAGCCTGAGCCCAGTTCTGTACTCTTGCTGGAGAGGTGTTGCAATCATTTGGAGGAAAAGGGGCACTCTGGCTTTTTGAATTTTCAGTGTTTTTGGCTGATTCTTTCTCTCTCGCTTTTTTTTTTTTTTTGAGATGGAGTCTCGCTCTGTTGCCCAGGCTGGAGTGCAGTTGTGCGATCTCGGCTCACTGCAAGCTCCGCCTCCTGGGTTCATGCCACTCTCCTGCCTCAGCCTCCCGAGTAGCTGGGACTACAGGCACCCGCCACCACACCCAGCTAATTTTTTTGTATTTTTTAGTAGAGATGGGGTTTCACCATGTTAGCCAGGATGGTCTCGATCTCCTGACCTCATGATCCGCCTGCCTCGGCCTCCCAAAGTGCTGGGATTACAGGCATGAGCCACCACGCCCGGCCTCTTTCTCATCTTTGTGAGCTTATCTGCCTTCAATCTTTGAGGTTGCTGACCTTTGGATGGGGTTTTTGTGTTTTTGTTGTTTCTCTTTTAACAGTCTGGCCACTCTTCCATAGGGCAGCTGTGGTTTGCTGGGGGTCCATTGCAGACCCTAGTCATGTTGGTTTTTCCTGTACCTGGAGGTCTCACCACTGAAGGCCGAAAAATAACAAAGATGACAGCCTGCCCCTTCCTCTGGAATCTCCGTCCCAGGGTATTACTGACCTGTTGCTAGCTTGAATGCACCTGTATAAGGTGGCTGGAATCCCCATTTGCAGGGTTTCACCCAGTCAGGAGGAATAGGATCAGGAAGCTGCTTAAAGAAGCAGTCTGGCTACTTTTTGTTAGAGCGTCTGTGCTGTATTGGGGATCCTCATTCAGCCCTTGATTTGTTTGGGCTCACCAAGGCCCACAGGCTGGACCAGCTGAGATGCCCAAACAAAGAGCCAAGGCGGTGGCCTGGCCTGACCTGACCCCCAGGCACTCTCTTTCAGGGAGAAATTAGAACTCTGTCAGCTGTAGAACGTGGGTGGGGGTAGCCAGAGGCTCTGGCTGGGAGGACCCACCCCAGGAGGAGAGAATGAATCAGGGCCCCACTTAAAGAAGCAGCCTGGTCACACCTAGACAAAACAGCCACGCCATGCTGGGGAACCACCTCTGCCCCTGTCTGCCTGGACTCTGCAAAGCCTGCAGGCTGGAACAGCTGAGTCATCAAAACAACCAAGGTGGCAGCCCTCCCCTGCCCCTGGACACTCCTTCCTAGGGAGAGATCAGAGCTCCGTTCATAGAATACATGTATCTGGGGGTAACTGGAGGCCCCAGCTGGGAGGTCCTACCCAGTGAGGAGGAATGGATCAGATGGATTCACCTTAAAGAAGCAGTCTGGCCTGGCCACGTTCTAGCAAAGCAGCTGTGCTGTGCTGGGGGGGTCCCTTCCTCGTCGGGACTATTTGGACTCTCCAAAGCTTGCAGGCTGGAATGGCTGAGTCAACCAAACAGCAGAGATGGCAGCCCACCCCTCCTACCAGGGGCTCCATCCTGTCTCAGGCAGGCTCCACCTAGTTGCCGGTGGCTGGCTGGAATTCCAAGCCAGTGGGTCTTACCTTGTGAGGTGCTATGGAAGTAGAGCCCACAGACTGACGCTGCTCAGCCATCTGGATTCAACCACCTTCCTAGGGGTATGTATGTATCTCATGCCTTGCCTGAGTTGCAGACACCTTTGTTGGGAATCCTGGAACTGGAGTATGTAAAGCTCCTGGGTCTCTGTGTGTGCCTGTACAGCTGCTCTGCCAACACTCCACACCACAGCTCTGTGTGTCAGACCCAAGGCTCTGGTCGTATGGACTCACAAGGGGATCTCCTGATCTATGAGTTGCAAAGATCCTGTGGGAGAAGCGTGGTTTCCCGGGGGTCGCGCATTCACTCACCACTTCCCTTGGCTGGGGGTGGGGGGTCCCTTGGCTCCCTGTTGCTCCTGGGTAGGCCATCGCCCCACCCTGTTTTTCTTCATTTTCTGCAGTTCGAGTTGTTTCTCTCATCATCCAAATGTGAGTACCTAGATATTTCAGTGAAGGTGCTGCATTCACTCGCCCCTTTCATTCCTCTCCATGAGTGCCACAGACTGCAGCTGTTTTAATTGGGTATCTTGGCCCCCTTCCTGGGCCAAGATAGCCAGTTAGAAACAGCTGCAGCTCTAGTTGTGAAGTTTCAGTGCTGTGTAGTGTTCTATGGTATGATCGTCACACAGTTTTATTTTTTTCTTTCCATGTTGATGGAAAAGATATGGAAAGAAAATTTAGAAAATTTTAAAATTTCTCTTTATGAGTACATGAACAACAATTGACATGAAACAACAATTGACATAATTGTTGTTGGAGACTTTTAAGACCTTCTCTCAGATATTGGCAGAACAAGTTGAAATAGAACAAGTTGAAATAGATAGAACAAGTTAAAACATAACTTCTGGGGATATAAGGAATGTTGATGGAGGAAACTTAATTAATGGATTCTTAATGGCTACATGTGGCCTGGCATAAGGATCAGAATACTGAGGACCCCCAGTCACAGTCACAGAATGTCTCTACCTACCTATTAACCTTTACCTATGGGTATTCATGGGGAGCAGAGACATAGCAGGCTGAAGGCTAGGGGGATGTCAGAAGAGCTAAAGAAGATCACTCTGAGGCACAACCTTCATTCCCCATGTGCACAGAAGCAGCTTATAGAAGGCTAGGGTTCAAGTAGGAAAGCAGTGAGATTCATCCAGAGCATACAGAGCTTTGGCTGAGTGCAAAATAGAGGCTTGCAGAAAACTGTAGATGGGGCAGGAGACCTGAGAGGCAGCCTTCTGCAGTTCAGCAGACCTTTGTAGAAAGTGCTTCAGAGGTCCACTGAAGGCTAGGGGAAGGGAATCAGGGGAGAAGGGACATACTGAGGCCCCAAACCCCAGACCAGGAGGCCAGAATTCAAAGAGAACTCAGTGACTTAGAGAGTTGGCCACTAGGCTATAAAATAGGAAGAGACCACCCTGGTTTAGAAATCTGCACGCTGGGCTATAAAGCTTAAAGGGTCCTTCAGAGTCTGACTATGCTCAGATTCTAAGCCACATTGAGCTAAAAGCCCTAATCCTGTGCTCAAATCACTTGAAGCCAGTCAAAACCATCTAACCAGTTCTGCAATAAAACCCAGGCAGATCAACTACAGTTTAGACTGGTTTAGCCTTATTCCTGCCTCCTGGTACACATGCAAACACACTGTGGAGGGACACACTGCATGTGTGAGACCAAAAGCAGGAATCAGTTGGCTTCTCATCAGAAGCAATGCAGGCCAGAACACATTGGACTATTTTTAAAGTGCTGACAGGAAAAAAAGTTTGTTCAGAATCATATAATATTATATCATAGGATATGACATATTAGCAAATTATCCTTCAAAATGAAGGAACATAATGGCCTTTACAGATAGACAAATGCTAACTGGTTTCCTGCAGACCTGTGCTATAAGAAACTGAAGGAAGTTCTTTCATGCTGAAGTGAAATGATACTTCATAAACACCTGAATCTGCAAGAAGGAATACAGAGGCAAAGCTTTTCAAAAAACTGTTAAAAACTGATCTTTGTGTGAGACACAAAAGAACGAACCATTCATTTAAATGAACCATTTAAACAAACTTTAAATATTAAGACACAGATTGAAAGAATTAGAATGGAAAATATATAACATGCAAATGATAAACATAAGAAGGCTGGTGAAACTATACTGTTAATTAAAAAATGGGTCTCAAGAATAGGAGAGTTCCTAGAGATAAAGAGAGAAACTTCATTTTCTCTTTATGAATAAATGGTTAATACACAAAACAACAATTGACAGAACTAATTACAGTTGGAAAATTTTAAGACCTTCTCTCAGAGATTGATAGAACAAGTTGAAATAAAACTCAGTAAGGATATAGAGGATTTGAACAATATTAGCAACCAATGTGACCATAATTGACAATTATAAAACACCACATCCAACATTTAAAATAGGTATTCTGTTCTAAAGTTGATATAAAACATTCGCCATATGCAGGGTCACAAAACAAATCACAATACATTTCAAGGAACTGAAATCATATGGAATATGTTTCTGGCCACAACAGTGATAAATTAGAATCAGTAACCGTGAGATATCAGAAAAGTCTCAAAACAACTAAAAAAGAAAGAGAAAAAAGGAAAGGAAGGAAGGAAGGCAAGAGAGGAAGAAGAGAGAGAAAAAGAAGGAAAAAAAAGTTAGAAGACTTATTCCATCTAATTGTACTGTGAAGCTACAGAGTAATCAAGAGATGGTATAGTATCAGCATAAGTACCAAAACTATATCAAATAAAACAGAAATATATCCACACATCCATAACCAGCTGATTTTTTTTTACAAAGGTGCCAAGTTAATTAAAAGGAGGAAATTAAAGTGTTTTTGTAAATGGTTCTAGAAAAACTGACTATTCACATAAAAATCCCCCGAATTTCAATCCTTGCCTCATACCATAGGATAACAAAAAATAACTCAAGATAAATTATAATTTTATTGTAAAATTTAAAACTGTTCAACTTTCGAATTAAGACACAGGAGGATAACTGGGCAATTTATTGTTTTTTTTTTGAAGCTAGGCTGTTGCAATAATTCAGGCAAAAGGTAAAGATTTCCTGGACTAAGGCAGTGGACATCAAGAGGGAGAAGAAGGAAGCAGGAATTTATTCTCAAAGGGCTCTCTCTAAAGTCTGCGATTCCTCAGACTACAGTCAATCTGTGTCATATGAGGACCTCGGATGGAAGAGCAGAAGCCGAAAACTAATCTTGGAATTTGCTAGATTTGTTCTGGCCCCTTTTTGCTTACAGGAGATTTAGATGATTGTGTGAAGTGAGGTATTGCTGGATCCTTTCTCTAGTCCATCCACAGACTGCATAGACTCAACAGCCTATACTCTTGTCGTCCCTTAAGTGCATGGGTAAAAACTGTCTGAAGGCCTGAGCCTCACCTTCTTCATATGTAAAATGGGGGTAATAATAGTGTATTTGTAATAATATTGTTATGATAATTAAGTGAGCTAACACAGTAAAGCACTCAGTGTAACAATTTATTATTCCAGGTAGTTGTTCACTGTTTTTCTTGCTATCTTTTTGTGTTTTCCTATTTTGACACTCTTTTATTCAGTACCTTTTAGCACTTTGGACTCTATTTTGTAACAATGTTTAGGTATCCTATGAAGGCTGGGGTTTCTCCTAATAAGTGCAAATCATTAAAAGTTTTGTGTGCTGAGACAGCATACTGTGTACTTAAAGTTTGCTTGTTGAAAGCACAGATAAAGGAAATGCCCAATCAAGTTTTGGTGAAAGACAGTGACAGACTGGGGTCTAAGCGTCTCTCTGCTCTATTTCTTCTTTCTTCCCAGCCATCATCCATGGAAAGTCCAGATTAGCCTCCTGGATGGATTTGTGAGAAGCAGAGCCTCTCCTCCAAGCCAGAGAAGCCATTGTGTACCAGCTCGCCCTATTAGCATACCATGTGCCCAGGAGTAAACAGGTAATTGTGGGACCACAGACAGATTAACCCATCACCTAAGGTGAGGCAGCTGAGCTGGGAAAACCAGAGGTCTATTTAATTTCCTCATTACTTTTATAGTGATTGAAACAAAAAGCTATTTATTTATTATTGAAGAGAGAGGTTCTCATTCTGTCACCCAGGCTGGAGTACAGTGGCACAATCATAGCTGCCTGCAGCTTTGAACTCCTGGGGCTCAAGCAGTCCTCCTGCCTCAGCCCCCCAAGTAGCTAGGACTAGAAATGGGTGCCACCATGCCTGGCTAATTTCAAAAAACCATTAAAAAACATAAATAAAATGATGTGCTTGGGAATGTGAAGAGTGTGTGTGGGTTGAAAATGAATATTTCTTCCAATGAACAGCAATTTAATAAAACTGAAAATTCTGACATTTTCTTGCTAGTACGGTTGATAGCTGTCTGGTTCATCCAGATGGTTGGTAACAGACTGCTTGAAGTGAGAATCCCAAATGAGGTATAAGCAGTGAGTGAATTTTTGCAGAGTGGTGCCGAGTGTCTTAGAGTGCGGTACTGATGATGCATTGTGGGTTTAGTAACCAGCTGAGGTCCTCGGTACCTCAGGTGGTGCAGTCCCAGGACCCAGGGGTTCAACACAAAGCAAAAAGCACTTTGAATGGGATGGGGCAGGTGCTGGTAATGAAAGAGAGTGCCTCTCTTCATTGTATCATGAGTTCTATGACAAGACTTTCACCAACCATGTAAGATATTAAATGAGATAATACAGTATGCTCAGCTGGAAGGAAAGATAAGGGCTTCTCTGTATTATGTATCTGTTCTTTTGTAAAGTCTGGTCACCATAATACAGGGAAATCCTTACCTTCTTTTTTAGTTGAACATCTCATATGCTAGTTAATCCTCATATCAATTTCATACAGTGATATTATTTTTAGGACACAGAAAGAGAAACTGAGGCACAGTATGTCAATAAGTTGGCCAAAGTCATACAGGCACTCCGTGAAAGAGCTGAGGTTTGTATAAATTCTGTCTAATGCCAAAAGTGATACCTTCCACTCTGTGATAGCCACTCTGTGATACCTTCCATTCCTTTGCCCTTTCCTGTCCTCCAGTTTAGCTCTTGGCTACTTTGCTCATGCTGTAACCTTCTCCCCATGCCTAAAAGGCCCTTTCTCTTCCTCTTCTCTCAACATGTTCTCAACAAGAAAACATGCCAGCTTTCTTGTTGATGACTCATAAGTTGGATAATCTCTCCTAGCACCATTTTACTACCTGCTTTCCACATACTAGTGACTCCTCATAATCTTTGGGGAGGACATTTAATTTGTGAACATTCACTGCCCTTTAATTTTGACTTCTGGTTGCATTTTAGTATTCTTTTCCAATGGACTGCCTCATAACCTGTGCAACATCAGCATCCAATCACTGTAAAGTGTGCAAATGTCCCCATGTTTTTTCTGGTCTATATCTATGCTGGCCCTGATGTTGGTATAATTCCCAGAGGGTCTTTTACAACCTCTTTTAGGAAGGCTTCATTGACAGCCTCAGGCTAGGTTTATGCTATTTCTTTATGTTCACCTAACACTGCATATTTTACTCTGTCAAAGGACTTTGTGATTCTCTAGTGAATTTTTCAATTTACTCATCTAATTTTCCAATTATATTGCAAATATTGAAAGCAGGAGCTATAACCAACTCAGCTGGTTACCCACAGTGCTTAGCATAGGAACAGCTAATAATAGGAATGTAGAAAATGCTGAAAAATAATGTGACTTGAGCCAGGCATGGTGGCTCATGCCTGTAATCCCAGCACTTGGGGAGGCCGAGGTGGGCGGATCACGAGATCAGGAGATCAAGACCATCCTGACTAACTCAGTGAAACCCCTTCTCTACTGAAAATACAAAATAATTAGCCAGGTGTGGTGGTGGGTGCCTGTAGTCCCAGCTCCTCGGGAGGCTGAGGCAGGAGAATGGCGTGAACCCGGGAGGTGGAGATTGCAGTGAGCCGAGATCGCACAACTGCACTCCAGCCTGGGCGACAGAGCAAGACTCTGTCTCAAAAAAAAAAAAAAAAAAAAGGTGACTTGAATGTACTAATTTCTTTAACAAAATGTAGAGAGACCTATGATGTGCAAAGCCCTATGCTAGACTGTAAGAATGCTGAAGCCAAAAATATGCTCACTGCTCTTAAGTGGCTCACAGATAGCAGAGAACCTGATATTTGAATGGATATTTGGGGCAATGTCCCATAGGTTAATGTAAGAGAATGTTTGCCACTGTGGGAACTCAGAGGAAAATGCCTAGGAAATGAAGAAAGCTTTTTTCTCTTTATTTTAGAGGACATTCTATTCCATAGTCCTGAAGAGCCTCTTTTGCATTTAGATGGAAATTAACAGGTTATCACCTAGTGTTTGATATTATTAGTTCTCGCACTAATCTTCTTAAGTACAAGTCTTGGTCTGTGATCTTGAGCAAATTATTTACTCTCTCTGTGCCACAGATTCCTCATTTGTAAAATAGGAGTAATACACTGCCAGGACAATCAGTTCCATCAAGCAGGGCAGGGGCTGAGAGTTATGCTGCTGGCCTTTCTTTCTCTGGGTCTTCAGTTGGAATGTGGCTGGCCCATGCTGGTTTTGTGTTTAAATGCTGTACTTATAACAAGAAGAATCTTTTTTTTTAAGCTGTAGATTTATAAAAACTGATCATATGCTGTGTATACAGAAATCTCAAGATGGTAGAGACATGTATGAATGTACTAAGTAGTAGTACTAAGTATTCCACCATGCTTATTGGTAAGGTAGGTTTTATTGCAAAACTCACACTAGGTACTTACAAATGTAGCCCACTTCTTTCCAACTATGAAAACAGTGTCACTACTTTATGGTTCAGTCCCTGCAGACCCTTCTCAACGCTTTTCCTATAGGTAATTTTCTTCTGCATCCTTCCTCCTACCTCCTACATAAAAAAAAGAAATCAGTGAACCCAAAATAAATATGAATAATAAATGTATATGCCTACCACATAGGATTGTTGTAAGGATGAAATGTGGATGTCTTGATATCTTAGAATGATATCTTGCATTCAATAAATGCTAGCATTATCAGTCTTTTCATTACAATTATTATTGTTGTCCTCAGCAAACCAGCGAACTCCATAATTCTGGGACAGGCCTTTTCAATGACATGAAAATATAGAGTAGCAGCTCCAGCCCTATATTTATGTTCATGTTTGTGCCATAGAGATTTGTGAGGGGGACACACAAAGTGAGAAAGAGATATGGATTCTGTTTGGATTCCTTGGGAGAACATGCATTTTTTAAGAGCTGGAAACTTAAAACATAAAAAACAAAGATATCCTAGAATTTGTTGCTCAAGGTTCTGAAGAGACTTCTTAAATTTTGAGAGCTGGAAAGAGGGGAAACATTTATTCTTTGCGACCTAATAGCAGGAGAACTGTCATGCTACAATTCACGTTTCTCAACTAGATGAGAAAAACAGGCTCAAATACTTTCCAATGCCTTGAATGTTTAGTGAGAGATGTGAAACTGGTAGAGTCCCCTGGTCCCTGTTTGTAGACTCATTATGCTTTCTCCTGGAATGTTCTGAATTCCTCTTAAACTCACAGAGATTGGTGGATACAGTCTTGGCTCATCACAGCCAATTCCAGCACACATCTCCCTCTGGGACTTGGGACTTCTGAACAAATGGCACATCCAGCTGCAACCTCTTCTTCCATTCTCCCCCAACTCCACATTCAAGTCTTGAAAATTACATTTTCTACTCTTCAATCAACTCCCAAATGTAGACTTCCTCTACCTTTTGCTTTATATCTCCCAAGGTTGCAAATGTATTTCATTCCAGCACTGAAACAATTTAAAATAACTAGCATATCTTGCCTGGAGAGAGAGGGCTCTTGGTAGCAATCTCCCTGTGGTCTATCCTACTATTTCTACTTTCTTCTTGATTTAGAGTCTGTCACTGTGAATGGGGACCCATTGTTCTCGGGAAGAAATCTGATATTCTCAAGTAGCCCTCGACACCTTCACTGGCTGCCTCCCTTTTCTTTCTCTGTTCTTGCCCACAGCCTCTGAGGACTAACTTCACACATTTCCCCCATGCTACTTGGCCTAAGACTTGCTTTGCTCCTCCATGCTGGCCTCCCCCAGCCCCCTCCTGGTAACCTCAAGATGTAAAATGCTATAGTGTCTCTGGCTTGGACTCCTTATCTGGCCCCCGATTCTTTCCTTCTCCCTCTAAGACATTGAAGAAGAAGAAGTAATGTTCATTTATAATGCCTAACTTCTCTAACTTTTCCTTCCAGTCTCCTTCAGATGACATTTTTGCTCATGCTGCCTTACAAATGAAATGTCCTTTTCTCAATTGCCCTAGAAGACGTGACATTTACCCAGAATTAGTTGGGATTAGATCCTTAGATTGTTGCATTAGATGAGAAATAGTTTTAACAAAGTTGGTGATGGGTTGTATATCAAAACAGAGAGAAGTGGGAGGCACTCGCTGCTTTCGAGACAGTATCCTCCTTCCACAATGGAATTTTTGGCAAGATCTTCAAGTTCTTGAGTTTCTTTTTCTCTTTCCTTCCCAGAACTGCAGGAAAGAGTAATTTTTAATTATTTAGGCTTCTCACCACCACCACTTTATTGTCCTACATGCTTTGTAACATGCTGTAGATGAAACCTGAATATCACACGAGGCTTCAGAATCAGGAAAATGTGTTCAATGACTATTCTAATTCCTCTCACCCAGATATTAAGCCATGTTCTTAATAGTATCTTCTATTGGCTGTGCTTTTATATATCTCCAGAACACTTTCAGACACATTCTTATTTGACTTCAAAAGTTGGTTTATCTACTTCCTGTCCAGGGGTTGTCTTCTGATTGAGTGGCTACAATGTGGTCAGAGGGACATATACCTTCACCTACCAACGTGACAAATCAAAACCAACAGACACAAAAGACTTAGGTACACGATTATTTTTGGACTAAGTACTATGAATACGAACCCAAATAGGCCTAGTTCCTTCCTTCAATGAGCCTGCATTCTGTGCTGTCCTCAGAATACTTGGGACCCACTTCTGTTGAGTTTATAGAAATGTGTGTGTATGCAAGGCTGGATTTTTATAAATTTCTCACTTACAAAATGATTTTTATAAAATGTCTCACTTATGCTTCTTCCTTTTATAATAATACAAGCCACATACTTTATAAGACACTAAAAATATTTTATGAATGGTTTTTGAAACCAAATATAAATGTGATTATTTTACAGTAAAGTTCACATCCAGGTTATGAGGAATTAAGAGACTCTTGACAGATAGTCTGGATGTTGGGATGTGAATATATGTGAATATATATAAATAAATACATCTACATGTGTAAATTTATATAAATACGCACATACATGTAGATCTATTTCAGGGTAAATATGGTAAGTAATGCATTTTGTTTGAATATTTTGCTCTCTTTGTAGATAAATAAGTGAGTTTTGTTTATCCTAGTAAAGGAGTACTTCCTAAACAGGATTCTATTCATTGCAGTAATAGGGAACTAGTGATTCTAAGTTGGAGAACTGGTGTGTCTACTGTCATCACTTATCACAAAGACCTTGGTGTAGGATATGCTCCTGGGAGAAGGCTCATAGGGAGAGAGATTTTTGTGATGGAGTAATCCAGATGTTTGAACAGCTGTATTAGCAGAGTTGTTTGGACAATTTTACACAATAATATTTTGTGATCAAGTTTTGTTATGTGAAATGGCCATTGTTTCTCAAAGTTCTTTTACTCAGAAACAGAACATGAATTCATAGAGGGTCACAATTTAATTGAGAAAATGAAATATATCCTTCTGAGATGTTACACTAAAACACAAATGGCTTTTGCTCCATCCCAGACATTCATGTGAAACAAAGCATTCTGCTAAAGAAGAAACCCATAAGGACTTTTTAAAATAGGATACACTTTGATTGTGATCCAAGGAAGAACTGATAGTGAGAGATTAAAACATTTCCAGGGAAATTTATAGCTTCCTGCATTTTTAAGGTTACTTTATGTCTTTACTTAATGGGCAGGCATAATTTATATTTGCCATGGCAGAAAGACGCATGGCCAGAGATTTTCTCTGCTACTCAGGATCTTGGTTGATTTAAGAGAGGAGATGCTATCTCATGCAGTACCAAATGGAGCCAAGACCTGTACACTTCACACAGCAGCCAAGCCTGTCTATATATGTTGACACGTTTTATAGGCAGTACTTTTCTGAGCTCTTGATCAAGATCAGAATAAAAATACAAATAATAATAATAAGATAAAAAAAAGGATAGGAAAAGAGGAGCAGGAGAATAAAGTGAAATTGCTACTGTGCCAGAAATGCTAAGATTAGCATCAGCAATTAATAATCCTAGGGCTTCTGTAATTCTAGAGTGTTCTGTAATTCTAGAGTGTGTGTTAACTAGAGTCAACTCAGCAAATGTTTATGGAGACCATGTGCCAAGCATTGTGCTAGACACTGAAAGATTAGAAAGGTGAATCAGACTCACCCCTCTATGATCTAGTTGGGACACTCTCCTATGGGAATTATTGCCAAGAAAAAAAAAGACATTAAATGTGACAGAGAAGCACAAAGAAAAATACTATAGGAACAAAACTCAGAGATTCTGCTTGATTTAGAGATTGGGAAAGCCACATGGAGGAAGAGAGACATACAAAGGATTTTACAGGAAGTGTGAATTCTGGTGAATGGATATGGAAAAAAAGACATTTTTGCTTGCACAATTTGTGGAGATGGGAGTATATATATAGCACTGGAGGATGAAGAAGTCTGAGTACGTGGAATAAAGGATGCTTTACGGGGACTGTGGCAAGGAAAGTCTGGGTCATCATTAGTAGAATCTGTTCTCATTATTAGTAGCACTAGAGTGAGGTTTGCTCTAGTGTGGACTTAGAATAGGCCATACACTAAAGCCTGATGTAGGTGGGCACTGGTTTGAATCCCACCTCCTGCTTTGTTCCAGTTCTCCAAGCCGCCATCCTATGGTTCATTCTGCCATGAGCTTCTCTTTATGCTGCAATAGATTTTAGGGAAACTGAAATGACCTGTCAAAGAGAAGGATCCCCTAACGGTGAAAAGGCCAGGTAACACGCTGAGCCGAAGGGGATGCCTGGGTTTTTACTTCGGTTCTGTTCCAAAGGGACCATCCTTGGACTGTGCTTATCTTCTCCCTCCCTGGAGGCTCCAGATCCTTTTCATTTGGTTTCTAGACATAAGTTGCCTTTAATATGGGCTTTAGGGATTTGGGCTTGATCCTGAGAAGTGCTATGAAGTTGTGGACAAAGACTCTGGCTCTGTGAGAGTTCTGCTTACTGGCTATAGCCTAGAAGGGTGCAGTGCTATGTGTATAAATCATCATTGTACCCTGGTACCCATTAAAATTATTGGACTGAGAATCATTGGCTTGGGATTTTGTCTTGGTTTGACTAAGACTGAGCTTTATTACCTTGGGCCAGTTACTTAACCTATTTGACCTCCAGTTTTGTCCTTTGTAAAATTATTTGGTTCTACTTGATCTCCAAGTTTTCCTCCAGCTCCAGTTTTTACTGTTGTTCTACAAAGAAATTCGGATTGTATGGCTTTTAAAACATGAATAATCCAAGAGTGGCTGAAGTTTCACATTTCATATTGACTTTTGTGTTAAATTTACTTTTAGCTGATATACTTCAAATTTGATATGAAATGGCAAACATTAAGTCATTCTTTCCTTGCAAGTATAATTCTAATGTAAGTCATTAATCCTGCCAAGGAGGGAAAAAAGTCAAATATTATTGTAAACAAACAGCTGATGGGAATGCCAAGTTTATTTAAGTTTTGAAAATCTTTGCAGAGGAAGTAGTATCCTGTAGTGATTAAATCAAACAGCTATATTAGGAATTCCTTACCAAAATCAGGTATTTACAGTAAATTTTGCTGTGGAATGTTGGCTGGTTTCTATACAGTTCTGAGGCTATTTTGCTTCATCTTGAAAGTAGCAGGGTATTAAAATACAGTACCGTGAACATTTTACCCTGAAGCTTAGCTGCCTTTTATTTTAGGGAGGAAAAGGTAAAAACTTTGGAATATAGTTGTGTAATGTAGCATAATGCAGTATAAAGAGGAATGCTCACATGTTTAATGCCCCACAAATGGAACTTCAGAAAACCACAGTAGCTTTTAAATGGTGCATTGCAAGAATAAAAACATGATCCAACCCTGAAAGCATTCCTGCTGGGTGGCTAGATGTTACTGCCTTTTAGGCCTGACTTTTCTCAGGGGTAAATCAGACCTTGTACAGCCTTTTATAGAGTGAGGCCTAGATTGTTCCATTATGCTTAGGAAAATATGAAAAACGAGCTAAGTGTTTCAGCAATTTTTTAAGCTAATTGAATCAGTAAGGCAGAAGCCAAGAGTGGGAGAATTTCTAATTCTGGTCCTTTGCTTTGGGCAATGATATTAGAAGCTAATGCATAAAGTATGAGTTATGAATGCCTGTTTACTTGTGTGCCTTCCTAACTAAACTGAGTTGCTTGAAGAAAGGGACCTTGGCTTGTATAAATGCATATTTCTGTCTGTGGTGACTAGTACATAAATGGACATAATGGGTCACCAGTGATTATTTGTAGAATAGAAAAATGAATTCAATAGAAAAAAATCTTTAGAGCAGAGGAAAATAACAAAAGCAATACATGAATGAGAAGAAGAATGAGCAAAGATTTTCGGGATAAATAGTGGGAATTATTAGCTTTGTGAAATGAAGGATTCCTCGGTGCTTGTTAGCTTTCCTTAATGTTCTGTTTAAAATGCATCCGTATTTATTGGACCCTTATTTTTACAATGGGATGAAATCTTGTAAAATTGGGGTTTTTACATTTCAACAAAGATAGAAGTTGATTCTAGAAATTAAATACAAATTATCCAAAGTGTCATTCTTTGGGGAGCAGTGTATAGGATGGGGTTGTCTCCTGGGACCTTTAGATGCTTCAATTTGGCCCATTATACAAATACAATTTTTACTACCCTTTTATTGACTGTCTTTAAGTTGACATTTTCATACTAGTTTTCTGCCCATCCATCCTGCAGAAAAACGGCTTGATGTAGTGTAGAGAGAGAATATAAGAGCCCTGGAAATCATTATATTTGGCATTCTGGAGTACAGGGTGGGTTCATAGATCATAATATATTTGTGTGTGTGTGTGTGCGCGCACGTGTGTGTCTATGTGACTGACTTAATACTACATATTAACAATGGAAATACCCAAAGTGAAAGAAAATTAAGGAAAAGGCATTTTATTATCCGCTTTCTGATATTGATTTACAACGTCAAAGCAAAGACACAGGGATTGGTGAGATATTTAGCAATCAATTTTCTATCTGTTTTTCAGTATGTTGCTGGTTTATAACTCGTGTCTTAAAAATTAGTGTGTGATGGCTGGGTGCGGTGGCTCACACCTCTAAGCCCAGCACTTTGGGAGGCCGAGGCAGGCGGATCACAAAGTCAGGAGTTCGAGACCACCCTGGCCAACATAGTGAAACCCCGTCTCTACTAAAAATACAAAAAATTAGCCAGGCGTGGTGGCAGGCGCCTGTAATCCCAGCTATTCAGGAGGCCGAGGCAGGAGAATGGCTTGAACCCAGGAGGCGGAGGTTGCAGTGAGCTGAGATCGCGCCATTGCACTCCAGCCTGGGCGACAGAGCAAGGCTCTGTCTCAAAAATAAAAATAATAAAATAAAATAAAATAAATTGGTGTGTGGTTTAAACACAGATTTTACACTTTAAATTGAGACCATCATCTCAGTTTTGAAGTAGGAAATTCCTAAGATAACTTTACTTTGTAAAAAATGAGGTCTCTCAAATGGTAGACAATTAATCCCAAGGCTTTAATTGTCATCTAAAAACATAAAGAATAAAGTGTGCCATTTCCTTTTTTATCTTTTCTTTTGGCTTTGTTTTAGAGAAAATAATTTTCTTATCAATTCTGCAGACATAGTGCTAGCTTATATCTTAAGAGCGGATGCTATCAGTTTTAGTACATTCGCTGAAGTTAAACTATCTACATTGAGTAGGAGAGGGGAGCTCTCCTGGCATTAAACCCAAACAGAACCTTAGTAAAATTTATAATAAATCCACTTCATTATTGCATTATATAAATGGTTTTAATCCTAGAAATGGCTATTAATGTGGTGTCCTCTTTATATTTTGATACCATAAACATAGAATATGACACAAAATTGGAAAAATGGAATTCATTCATTTGAATGTGTTGCTGTGGTTTTTTTTCTCCCCTGGCTATTCTAGAGGTTAAAGCTAAGGAAATGTCTCTAATTTTGATGTTCATTTGGTGCAATCTAAATATGTTTCTTGTTAGCGGCGATTATATGGAAATAAATTTTATTAAATATTTATTTTTGAGATTAGAATTCTTGAGCTTCAGGCACATTTGAAATCATTACTTAAAGGTGGAAAAAGTTACTTTATAGATTTTAAAGCTGGAAATGTCCCTGATTCAAAAAAAATGAACTTATTCTGGGTCACCCAAAATACTTTAAAAATTTCTTTTAACAACAGTTATGTATTGAATACTACAAGAAATGGGCGGGGCTTGACTGCCTTCAACAGGTGCATAATCTGTTCTCTTCTTAAACCATCTCTCTATCCAAATGTCATGTTAAGGGCTTTGGATATCATTCTTCTGGGCCATAACATCCTGTTTATATGTCCATCCCCAAATTAATTTTCTTCTATTAATTAGAACAAAATATTGAACTGTGTGTTTGTCTTCCCAACCAGACCCTGAGATCTTCAAAGTCAAGAGCAGTGTTTTGTTCAATCTTATGTTCCAAGAAAAAAAACACATACACACATGGATCTTGACACTAAATACTTTAAACGAATCCCATACTTTGGGCCATTAGATTATTTCTTCTGTCTCCCATTTTGCCTTATATAACATTGCAACAAATATTTTTTCATATAAAGCTTGGTTTGCTTTGTGAAATTTTCTCAAATATTCCTTGTATAATAATAATAATAAACATTTACATTTATATTTCGTGTTTTAATTATATTGCTAAGTACTTCACATGTGTTACATTAATTAATCCTCATAGTAACCTCTAAACTAATTACTATTTTCTTTTTACAAATGAGTAACCTGGTATTTGGAAATTAACAGTTCATCCAAGACCACACGGTCAGTAAGCAAATCCAAAACTATCTGAGCCTAAAGTCTGTGTCATTATACGTTATGCTATATTTACTTATTTTCTGGTAGTGGAATTAATAAGTCAAAATTAAGAATAATAAAACTATTAGTTTTATTAATGAATACAATAAAGATATAAGATTCTTGAAAAACTGAATGCTCTACAGGAAAGGGAACGTGACGTTTTGCTGCAGGTGTCAAAGCTTTGCATGGGGAGCTTCCTTAGCACTTGACATGTGTGCCTTCCTATGTGGTCCTAAGGAGAGTTCTGTACATGCGCTGAGCTGGAAGAACAATGCAGCAGTTCAGCACTATAGATCATTCTGGCCTCCAAGTTGTTCTAACATACCTTCTTGACAGAAAGTAGATCAGAGAAAAAGGTGTTCTCTGTTAAGTGACACCAAGAGCACCTAATGATCCAAAAACATCTCACTCTTGTGGCATTGAAGCCAGGATGTCAGCTTGGTCCATGCATTGATATGCCTGGTGTGTTTGTGCCTTTTCTGAGAAACAGTGGGGGCTGCTGCTTTATGCTAGCCAAGGACACAACTGTGGAACACAAATATCAATGTATCTCAAGTCAGAAAGCAAGGAAAGAATGATTGGCCCAAGGAAGCTAGGTGACCAGTGTAGACCTTCCAGAATTAATCCCTGTGTGACCTATATCTGGCTCTGTCTGAGGAGGATGGGCCAAAAGATTTGCTTACTCAGCGCTTTTTCACATTTGCCCAAATCTCCTAATAAATGTAGCATACATAATATAGCATAAAATGTCCTTAGTATGGTATATTGGAATGAGGAGACAAAGACCTGTGTTAGCATCGTGGAGTAGTGTTCCTAAGTAAAATTTATCTTCTGCACAGAGACTTCAGTTTCTTCATTTATAAAATGAGGAGGCAGGGATAAGATAATCTGTTAAATTTCTTTCCAACTTTTGAGTTGTTATCATGGTGAGTTCTATAATAACATTTAACATTAAGAGTTCTATAAATAACATTTGGTTCTGATTTAGACTGAAAGTGTGTTCAAATTCTTGCTCTACAACTTACTAGCAGTGTGTCTTTGGCCATGTTACTGAACTTTTATGAACCTCAGATTCTATTTCTGTAAAGTGGAGCTACTAATACTTTTTATTTTTTGTGGAAAGACAGCTCAATGCCTAGCACAAAGTCATTCTATGAGAAATGAAGACATGGTAATGATGATGATGCCATCAATGATTCTGTTTACCCCAGTTTTTCATAAACAGTCACATCAGATGTTCAATGTCAGTGTGCTGTATAGTGTATGTATTAGTTTCCCAGGGCTGCTAGTATAAAGCACCATAAACTTTGTAGCTTAAGCTATCAGAAATTTATTCTCACAATTTTAGAGGATAGAAGTCTTAAATCTAGGTGTTGGCCAGGCTGGCTCCTTGTGAAGGTTCTTGGGTAGAATCTGGGCTATGCCTTTCTCCTAGCTTCCAGTGGCCGCTGGAAATCCTTGGCATTTCTTGGCTTACAGTTACATCCCTCAAATTCTGCTTCTGTCTTCCATGTCCATCTTCCCTCTCTGTGTGTATTAGAGTCCCCATGTCTTCCTAGGATCTTCTTATAAGTACAATAGTCATTGATTGAGGGCCCACCCTAATCTAGCGTCACCCCATTTTAACTTGAATACATTATTAAAGACAACTATTTCCAAGTAAGTTCACATTCTAAGTTAGCAGAGGTTAACACTTCAATGTATCTTTTTGGGGAACACAATTCTACACAAAATAGTCTATGGGGAACTGTACAAATATAAAGCAGTGAAGTTATGATTTCTGATAGTGATGATCACAGGTTATGCAAAATCAGAATATAAACGAGTGACTTAACTAGGTTACCTTGATCTCTCTATATGCTCATTGCTTATAGAAATCAAGTCAGGGAGGATTTTGGTTACACTCCATGTCATAGATCACTAAAGTCATCCGAGTTTTCCAATTTTGGGGAATAGTCTGTGTTCCTAAATGACTTTTGATTTCCCCCAAAATTTGTGTCTTGGCTGTCTTTGGAAATGGTGACTGCTGAAGACAGTGAAATTATCTTTGAACTCAAAAATGACCCATTATCAAAACGACTACTAATTTTGTGTCTGTCAGGCTCTGAGTCAGATGATTTATTCTTATTCAGTGGCTTGCCTCTGGTGTGGCTCCACCTGCTAGCTCAGAACTGCTCCACCTGCACCTCGGCCCCACTGGCAAAAGCCAGGTCCTAATGCTGCATGACAAATCGCAGCACCAAACTCATTTACTTCCGAACCACTGAGCAGGAATCCCTTGATTTTAAACCCATCAGCATCATGCCTTCAATTGCCATTTCCTTAGCAAGTGTGAATTTGGGGGGGGCATAGTTCTCAAAACCCTCAAGATGTACCGTCTCCACAAGGAGGCCAAATTAATATGACATTTAGGAAGGGCTCTAAGCTAAGAAAAACATCTTTCCTAGGAACCTCCAAGTATCTCCCTCCCCAAACACATGAATTTATGATCCCATGTGTGAGTTACAGGGCCAGCAGATGATGATAGCTGACAAGCTATCTTTGATTTATTTTCTCTTGTGTCCAAAACACTCAGAAAATAATATTTTGTTGTTCGCCAAATTGGAACCTTAGTTCTACCGATGAATGCCTAAGCTTGCCAGATATCTACTGTTTTACTGTCTTCTTCTCCAATAAACATATCTGAAATGTTGTCTGCAGATCTAACTTTCAGGATCAGCATCGTTCCAAGGTCAGGGCATGGCACTGAAGCTGCCTTGTTTCCATTGAGGATTGATGTAATTTTCGCCATTCCCCTCTGTTCTTTTATGAAATTCTGGGATTATTCAGCCTTTTCTAGAATCTTAAATCTATATTTCTATCTATCATTTATCTGTTGACCTGCTTATCTATCATCTATCTGTGATATTACGTTATTTCTTTGAATATATAAAATATTAAAATTTTGAATAGACAAATTTGAAAGACTAGAAATATAAATGGTGGTGGATTTATTTCCAGAAATAATAAGCATCTTTTTCTTCTTGAGCTTCAATTTCCCTAATTTCCTTTTGTTCTCATTATTCTTGAACTCCTACATTCAATTAACCCTTGGTTGCCCTACTAAATTTTAATCTTCTTGATGTTTTACTTATTTTCTCCATCATGGTATATTTTTCCAGATTCCTGCTCTTTTTGCCTTTCTGTCTTCATTCCTCTCTCCTTCTCTCCTGTCCTCCATCCTTGTCTTCTTATCTCTCTTCCTTCCTTTTCTACCTCTTTTATAATTCAAAAAGAATGAACGTGTATAATGAAAGAAGTAGAAGAAGGATAAGAGAAGGAGAAGGAGGAGAAGGATGAGGAGAAGGAGGAGGGGGAATAGAAGAGAGAAGTGGAGAGAGACAGAGAGAGAGACAGAGAGAGAAAGAAAAAAGGCATAAGGGAAAGGAAAAAAAGCATAAAGTGGTAAGATGAGAAGATGGGAACAGGGAAGAAGAAAATACCTAAAACTACAAGGCCTAACATTAGTGGACAATGTATTTAGCACTGAATGCTTGTCCAGTGAACACTAAAAGGGAAATATGACTAGTTGCAAAATATACACTGCTGCTAATGTAAAATCATACCATTTGCTTAACAAAATGGAAAAATATTACAGTTTGAAACTACAGTAAGATAAAGATTTCTTAATTGAATATCAGCCCCTAAATTGGCTTTTAACAACCAAAAGTTTTGATGTAATAATTTCAATTCAATGGGAAGTGAAGCCGACGACTTCACTGAGGCACTGACCGCCCAATGCAAAGCTGCATCTCCAAGAAAGGCTGCAGGAAGGCTCAGTTGTAAGAACACAGAATCTAGAGTTCCAAGACCTAGGCTTACGTGTTTTTATCACTCACATGTTCTGTGACCTCAGGCAAGCCTCCTTGTCTCTTTGTCTCTCAAGGGAATAATGAAAAAAAGTCTCATATACATGCAAGTGTTATCATTAGTTATTAATTATTGTCATCACAAATTGTTATGTTCCAAATACACTTTAAGTCTCAGATAACACCATTTTTCAGTCTATTGTAACATTGTTAAAATATTTGATTCCATTAAGTTAATTCAATATATTGAATATTTCATGGAAAAACTTTAAGTGCTTTTTAAAAAATGTTCAAGGGCTTTTATTTTCTGGTTTTCAGGTCAAATTTTTGGTTCACAGATGTTACAAAAATACATATGGAGGGCATCCACTGCAACAGCTCAATATTCTTTTAGATTACGTTTTAAGAAAAAAAAAAGAGAACAAAAAACTTACAACAACACCTGTTATTCAGCAGAATTTGACCTGACCCCTTTCTCCTTTTCTTGTTATTATAAACATCAAGCTCTTTAAGTGAGAGCTGTTTAAAGGACTGAGGGTTGTGAGTGTTCCTTCCTAGATCCCAGATGCATTGGGAGACGGATGGGCTTTTTGATCTTTATTTTATGAGTGTCTGATAAATTGCCTCTGGCACCTGGCAACTGAAATTTCACTATCTGAAAACTAACCCTCATGTCAAACAATGTGACCAGCCTTAGCCTCTCAGTTGAGGATCTCTGTAGCTGGGTGGAGGATGCCTTCCACTTCCTGGTCAGGTCTACCACCATGCTCAGGGGTTTACATACTTTTAATTTCAGAGGGAAGGAAGGATTATTAAAGGGCTTTATATGCTATGCAAAAATGTGCTTTTTGAAAGGTTTCATCATAACTCCCATTCTAGGATTTTTGAATAAGTCAAATAGAGACTTCAGCCCACTGTCTGGCCTGAAAAAAAATGCTGGTAACAGGATAAAGATTTGCAACTCTGGGTCATGAGCCTCTTCTCACTAGACTCCATCTGTGTGTTGATATAAGAAGAATGCAGGTGGTCTTTTTCTAGGAACAGCAAAGCTATAAACAAAGTCATCAGCTCAGACTATTATCACCTTTCTTTTAACATCTTATCCGGGGCAAGATTAACTCAACCCCAAGAAAGGGCTCTATAGTTTTCTCTGTTTACAGAGATTCAAATATGCAGATATTTTAATTTTTAAGAAGATAGAAAAATAATGAAATGATATAAACCCTCTCATATTGCGCTTCTTCAAAGGGAAAGAAGCCTGAGAGAGCAATGATAAATGAAAATATTAACCATCCCGTAACTTCCAATGAATATGTCATCATCATGGTGGAACACAGGTCCCTTGACTTGAGACACCTATGTATGTACCATATTACCACTTGTCACTCTTTTTTCCTCTTCCTCTGCTTTCTAAACTTGTCTGTTTAGAAATAGTTGTTACTTGGCTGGGCGTGGTAGCTCATGCCTGTAATCCCACAACTTTGGGAGGCTGAGGTGGGCAGATCATGAAGTCAGGAGATCAAGACCATCCTGGCTAACACGGGTGAAACCCCATCTCTACTAAAAATTCAAAAAATTAGCCGGGCGTCGTGGCGGGCGCCTGTAGTCCCAGCTACTCGGGAGGCTGAGGCAGGAGAATGGCGTGAACCCAGGAGGCGGAGCTTGCAGTGAGCCAAGATCATGCCACTGCACTCCAGCCTGGGCAACAGAGTGAGACTCCGTCTCAAAAAAAAAAGAAAGAAATAGTTGTTACCCCTGGAAGACAATATGTGTACATTTTCTCTCTTCTCTCAATCTTGGAGGAAATTTTTGTTCATCTTTTAAAGTTTCCTTCTGGGTTGCTGCTTTATGTACTTTTTGAGATCTCTTACAGAGGTCTAATCCTGTTGGCTGGATGGAATTGAGTTTGGACAGGCTAAAGTTTTGTTTCAATTTCTTTCTTTCTATCTCTCAATTTCCTTCTTTCTTTTTGCAGCCAACAGGAGATTTTTAGTTTAGGCTTGGCTATCTGAAATACAGTAATATTGCTGTAAAAACAGCAATGCCCTAGGTCAATCATTTACTTACCTAGCAGCATTTATTTATTATTGAGCAAGCAACATTTATTATGCTCAATTCTGAGTTTACAGAAGTAAATTTGATGTATATCTTGCCATCAAGGGGCTTGTAGTCTCATGTGAAAAACAAACATGCACACAAACAAGTAAAAGATAATTTTTGACATTGTTTTCTTAGAAGTCTATATTTGGAAGAATGAGGCTACAAAGGGGCAAGAGGGGAAATTTACAGGTGACATGTGTGCTAAGTCTTGAAAATTGAGGAGATATTCCTCCGGTAATAAAATCCACGCAAAAAGAGCAACCGAGCAATGCATGGACTCTTAAAAGGACACGACAGTTGGGGGAAGCAGGAAGCAGGTTGAAATGAGTGGATCACTGAGTTTGGCCTAGTGAGAGATGGCACATCCACAGAGGGACATCTGATCCATCAATCCTGGCAGGGTTTGCATGCTGCGGTGAAAATTTATAAGTAAAAAAAAAAAAGAAAAAATGAAATTCAGAGCTTATGCATCTTTTTTTTTTTTAAAGTGACAAAAGGGTATTTAATGATATAAGTTAGTTTTGAAAGAAAAATTATTCTGTCACTAATATACATCCAGGACATCCGTGACTATGATCTGTCATGTGGTGAAAATAGAATTTTAAGGTGAAATTCTAGGAAGAAATCAAAGCTTTGTGTTAATGTCAGCAAACCAATAATAAATGTGGATCCTAAAGTTTGGGATTCATGTTGGTTTTGGCTCTTACACAACAAAACAATAAAACCAAGCAACACAAAGTTGGGGTAGGCATGATGGATGGAGCAGTAGACTGCAGGGCCAGAGACTGAAATCTGCTCCTGGTTCTGCTACCAAAACACTCGATGGATTGAGGCAGTTTCTTGACCATTTCAGGACCTCAGTTTCTTCATTTTATGTTTCCCCTTGGCAACACTTATTATACTTGCCATGATTCATGTGTGTATATTCCACTAGATTCTAAGGTCCAAGAGCACAGGAGACATGTGCTGAAAGTGACTTGTTTTCTGCATGTTTTTGGAGCCCTGTCAGCTCAGGCGTGTGAATATGTTTCCAAGGCTTCAGGCTTCAGTTTTTGCTTTATTTATGACTTCATGTTACAGGTTCCTTCCTTCCTTCCTCCCTTCCTTCCTTCGTTCCTTCTTTCCTTTCTTTTTTTCTTTTTTTTGATACTGTGATATCCTCTATAGAAGAGAGACTGAAATGTACCATTCTCTTTCCTGGTTGCCTCTGAGAGGGTGAATGGAAGCTGGGCTTTCTCCATGGGGTTCTAAAGAGTTTGGACACGTGGATTCAGAGGCGTCTTTGGATGATCCTACAGGGCTCTTAAACATCTCCCTGTGGAAGAGAGCAGTCCATGCTGCCAACTCCCAGATTCTCATCCTGGGAGACTGGGAGAATACCCTGTGTCATTTCCTGTTCCTCGTGTGCTGCCAATACACATGCAGGTATGAACTCTCGTTAAACCTGGGGTCACCTCAGCATTGAAAAAGCCAAACCCTGGTTTCCTCTGAATATAACAATTTAATTACTAAAATCAAAATATGACTGATATTTCCGCATTAATAATTCCTCCCAACCATGTAAAGCCAGACAGAATTCAAAGTACTGGGTGAATTGACTTAACATACACACAACAATGAGAATGATGCAAACTCATAAAAACATATTACTGTGTCTTACATATCAATAATTGATAAGTATAATACAAACTCTTGGTCTTAAAAAGTTTGGATCTGTAAGCTATGTATTGGACCCTCCCAAAATATATGAAAGTTTTCAGAATGATAAGAAATCCACAGTCAGTTGTTTGCACTGGCATTTACAGTGCAAATTTAACAGCTACTTTTTTTGTGTGTTTATATAAAAGAAGATTGCTTATAAAAGTAAGTATTTGTTTGGGAAATAATAAGCTTAAAAAGAATAAAATTGCTGCACTCAGCCTTCCCCCTGGCTTTTCTCCTCTGTCTCTGTGGGTTAGAAAAAGTGAAGCTGTCAGGAGTAAGCAGACTCCTATTGTGCTCAGTGGAAATAGCATGTTTTTTTTTTTTTTTTTTGCATCCTTTTTGTAGTTGATAGTTACACTGGGTTTTGGACCCAGGAATGCTTCAAAAAATATTTGCTGAATGAATGGAATGCCTACAATGTCTGCTGACATGTAAGATCTTTAGCTAGGTGACCTGGGAATTAGGCATTGTAGATTAATTCATACAATGCATTATTTGAAAAATTTGCTCCCTGTTGAAGAAATCAGGCAAGAGAACCTGAGATAGCAAAGACAAGGGCTGCCACTCCAGTCAACCTCATCTCTCCATCAGCTAGGGGAAGGGTGGCACAGAGAGGATGTGGTGTATGTATGTGTGTATGTGTGAATGCATATGTGGTGCGAGTGTAGAAGTGCATGACACGTGTGTAATGTGCAGAGGCAGCTTACTCTAGGGAGAAAGAAATTGGAATCCGATGCTTTTTGTATTGCCACTTTCCCTCAGAAATCAGAAGTACAAACATCTGTAATGTGTCAGGGAATGCAGACATTTGAACATGTCTGGTTTTGATATTATTAAATGACCAATTTATTAAAGTAATTGAAGGGATGAAAGTGTGGCTCTCCCTACTTTACAGATAAGCTGAGATTGAAGTGTGAGATGGTACAGTCTAGCCAGGTTAGAATTGGATGACCTGCTGCTGATGAGAGGTAGTTGAAAAATAGTTCTACTTTGTTTTATTGTCTACTTTATATTATCAGAACTTCTGGGAGAGAAGAGTTATAGATAACAAAAGTGACATAAACCGTGTGCCTAAAAAGCCCCTGTCAAAAGGCATGAGATGCTTCTTTGGGCATATCACATTTCATTTAGCAAGATTCTCTCTTAGAGTGTCTGAAAAAATATACAGGAAGGCCTCATATGTACTTTTAACACACGGTCTGTAGAGAGGAGTTTAATCAAAGGTGCAGCAAATAGTACTTAGAAATGAAAGAGTACTTAGAAATGAAGAGCTCACCAAAGTTCAGCCTTTCCAGTGTTTAAAGGATCATTTATGACCTTGAGAAGGGCAGATGTTTTCTTACTTTTGGAACTTCTTTAGACAGATGACAGATGTGGTCTTGCAGTAACAGGTTCATTCATGCAGTGTGGTCATTGAGAAAGGACCTCGTCATCAGGGAGGCCTGGGCTAACATTTTGGCTTAATCATTTAACAGCAGAGTGGTAAAAATGGATTTTATCTGTGTCTGAATCTCAGTTCTGTTGCCTGCAAAATGAAAATAATATACCTGTCATATAGTTTTGTGAGATTTAAAGGAGATAATACAAATTAAAAAGCTTAATACAATGCCCGGTAAGTGCTCAATAATGATTCACTTTTATAGTTTTAATCATACATCATCAAATCTAAGACATCAACAATGATAACTTGACCACCAGATTTAATGATAACATGGGGGGGTATAGCTTAAATATGCCATTTTTATTATATGTTTAACCATTAATATACTCGAATCCATATAATAACTATTAATTTCCTCTTTAGGCTCAACATCAACATTTGAGGTGAATCCGCAAGTATGCAGTCCAAACTTTCTCTGAATCAATTTGGCCGCTAGGGATTATAGAGAATACCAGGTGACATTCTCCTTTCTTAACTCCTGCTTGTTATCTTAACACAGCACCTTTACTACTGACAGTAAAATTTGAGGTTTGTCATAGGAGACCAAGTTACCTTTTTCTTTGCATCAATTGAATTACCTCCCACAGGAAGTCTAGTAGTCTCTTTTGAGAGAAGCCAGAACATTTCTGACAAATTTCTGATGCTTGAAAGACAGTACTTTGTGTCTGGGAGGGTGTAGAAGAGATTGGGAGTTAGTTTGTTTACCTGTCTGTCATCCTGTCTTGGGCCCAAACTACTGCTCTGTCCCCACTGTCTTTCTAGCATGAAAAAGCTTTGCTGATTTTGAAAACTATAGAATTTTACTGACATTCGTTGAATTGTCTGACATGTGACAAGCAATCTACTTACATTTTAAGCAAACAAAAAATACTTTTCTTTCAGTGTTGCTTTATAGTATAATTATCAATTTTTTTTTTGAGACGGAGTCTCGCTCTGTTGCCCAGGAGTACAGTGGCACGATCTTGGCTCACTGCAAGCTCCGCCTCCCGCGTTCACGCCATTATCCTGCCGAGTAGCTGGGACTACAGGCACCTGCCACCACGCCCGGCTAATTTTTTTTTGTATTTTTAGTAGAGACGGGGTTTCACCATGTTAGCCATGATGGCTTTGATATACTGACCTCGTGATCCACCCACCTCTGCCTCCCGAAGTCCTGGGATTACAGGCTTGAGCCACCATGCCGGGCCTAATCTTCAAATATTTTAAGCAACAATTGGTGTTACAAATGTAAGCTTAAATCTGATTGTGTGTGATGGTATCGGTGAAAATGACTACCTAGAGATGACTTATGATAAACAGATACCTTGTAGTTGAGCTGTATTCACAGATGAGCAAGCAATGAAAACTCTCTCACAATCATCACTCTGAGTAATTACTAACAAGTTGCTTTTGACAATCAGTTGTAAGTTGTGTTCAGTTTTAAAAACAACAAACTATTTTGAAGTACACAATGCTGTATACATTTATGATAACATCACATTGTACCCTATAAATATATGCAATTATAATTTGTCAATTACAAAATAATAATAATTTTTAGAAAGAAAACAAAAAGATCCAACTGTGTCTTCTAAATTGAAAAAAATAAAAGAAATATGGTGTTATTAATGGCATCTCTAGCTTATTCTAATTCTCATATATGACATTTCCTCAAATGTTTATCCTCCATAAGGAAAATCCACGTGGATATACACACTTGATCCCTGAATAACTCCAGGGTTCAGGGTTAGGAACACTGACCCCTCTCTACCAAGTTGTCAACACTCCACACGTTAACTTTTGACTCCTTAAAATATTAGTTAATAACACCCTACTTTTGACTGGAAGACTTATTAATAATATAAACAGTTGATTAACATGAATATTGTATGTTACATATATTATATACTATATTCTTACAATAAAGTGAGCTAGAGGAAAGAAAATCTTATGAAGATAATTATAAGGAAGAGCAAATATACTTACTATTCATTAAGTGGAAGTGGATCATTATGGAGGTTTTCATTCTTGCTGTCATCATGTTGAGTAACTGAGAAGGAGAAGGAAGAGGAGGGGTTCGTCTTCTTGTCTCAAGGGTGGCAAAAGAAGAGGTGGAGGAGGTGGAAGGGGAGTCAGGAGAGGCAAGAACACTCTGTGTAACTTTTATTGAAAAAAATCCACTTAGAGTGGACCTGAATGGTTGAAATCCATTTTGTTCAAGTGTCAACTATGTATGTATGTATTTGTTTGTTTGTTTTGTTTTATTTTCTTCTGTGCTTCTGCAATAGCTCACTCTACTTGATTTCTTTTCTGTTACAGTACTTGGCTAGCATATCCATAGAGACAGGCCCATTAGCCTCTTTGAGAAATTGAACTTTGGAAGCAGTGCACCACATTAGTGTAGACACAAGAATGAATGATTCTTTTGCAAGCAGATTGCAGCTTAAATTTCATCTCTTGCCATTTGGTGCTTCTGTGGCTTTGGTCAAATCACTTGATCTCTTGTGAACCTGTTTTCTCATCTGTAAAATTGTTATAGTTTGCATTTTGGGGGGTTATATTTGGCCTATATGCTCTACGATTAGATTGTTTCTCCAGTTGCTTGTGTAGATCTGGGTGTGGTACCCAATAAATTGTAACTTTAAGATTATTGCCATAAATTATTAAAATAATAGCATATATGCCTGCTACTTTGTAGTTTACAAAATGTTTCATTGAACACTAGCTTAAGTTTTGTGACATTACTGTGAGACAGAGTAGTATAATTTTATTAAATGACACAAGATTTGATTTAAAAACACAACTCCTTACTTTTAGTGCAATCATCTTTTCCTTCCTCCTTACCTCTTTTAGTGCAAAATTGACTATTATTTTGAGCAATTAAAAGCTTTATTTGATGCAGATCTGTTTTTATATTTGTTGTATTGTTTCAGTCTAAGTAATTTTTGAGCAAAGGTAGTTTGCTATCAAATAGGAAACTGCAGGTATGTGTTGGTATTATTTAGGCCCAAGAAACATTCAAGGAACTTTACTTGCAGTGAGTTAGGTATTTCAAGAAAGGGCTACTAGGCCTTCACAGTGCAAAGTAGAGGTGAACAGGCTGGGGTGGGAGTTGTGGATAAGAGGAATGTATCCAGGGTCACCTCACTTAGCCCTGTACATAAGACTACCAGAATAGTACTGATATGGTTTGGCTATGTCCCCACCCAAATCTCACCTTGAATTGTAATAATCCCCACATGTCAAGGGCGGGGCCAGGTGGATTGAATTGAATCATGGGGGCAGTTTCCCCTATACTGTTCTTGTGGTAGTGAATAAGTCTCATGAAATCTGATGGTTTTATAAATGGGAGTTCTCCTGCACAATCTCTTTTGCCTGCCACCATGTAAGAGGTGCCTTTCTCCTCGTTTGCCTTCTGCCATGATTGTGAGGCTTCCCCAGCCATGTGGAACCATGAGTCCATCAAACCTCTTTTTTCTTTTTTTTGTAAATTACCCAGTCTCAGGTATGTCTTTATTAGCAGTGTGAGAACTGACTAATACAAGTATCCTGTGAATTTAAAACCTACTTTTAAACCTCTGTGAGGTAATGTTGCAACTAGATATTTTTTTCCTGTCATCTAACCCTAAACTTTTGGTACTCCATGATCCAAGTGCGATCTCAGGCCTCAAGCCTGAATGAGTCTCAGCCCTGGAATCACTAGTTGATTTTCTATGTGCAAAGTTCAAGCAAAGTGCAGGGTTTTTGGAATCCAGCTTTGGTGCATCTCATCCTGTAACTATGATATATGATAAAAGGAAAAATTGCAGCCAAACTTGACTATGTTCAAAGCAAGGTGCCAGTGAAACGATGGGATGGAAAATAAGTCCTAAAGGATTAATGGCCCATGATAAATGTTTTATTATAAGAGCTTGTGAATGATTAGATAATTCTTACTTCCAAGAGTAGAATTTAAATATTTCTGCCTGGCTTGTTACCAAAGTAAATAAATCACTTAACTATCTGGTTAATAGTCGAATCTTTATGCGCAAAAATAAAATATAGGAAAGGTAATTTTTTCTTGTCAATAATCAGTCTAACTTATTCACTGCTTATTTTTTAAATGATATTTACTGCTAGTTGAACCAACTAAGAAAATAAAAACACTTTCAGTAAATTATAAAAGATATTCTATTTGACACCTATCCATTTAACAAAATAAAAATAAAGTATAGTGAGGAATATTCTGGCTGCTGTAGTTGTTAGTAGAAATCAAACATTTAATGAAATAGTTTTCTCATTTGTGAAAGTATTTATAACTATTCCAGGACAATTCTCCCCTCACTAACACCCACACGATTCCCACTGAGTGTAACATGTGCCTCTTTGAGGGTAGAATCCAAATATGGTGTCCATTTGAGCTAATTTTCTTCTCAATGTGCTGAGGTCAGATTCTCTTGGACAACCTTATGAATCCAATTGATATTTTTAATAGCCTGGAAGCTTATATACCTATTGATTTAAGCCTGAGGAAAAAATAGAGGAAAAAATATTGCTCACTTAATCGGAAAGTGTGGTTGAAATGCCTCTTGTACCTGGATCAGTGATTTGGTTTTACTGGCTTTCACTCAACTCTTTCTTGTCATTTTCAGATACAACTATTATAAAGAACAACTGTTTTGTTCTGATCATGTTTTTACACATTGCATGTTATCTTCCTCCTAAGACACTTCAGAGCTTTAAAAGGACCATTGGGAACCTCGGCATAAGGCACATCTGGGAGTATCTTTTGTCTTTTGAATCAACATAATCAAGAAGTATTTCATAATAGGTACTACAGAGTCTTTGAAATGAACTAGTAGGTTGTGAAAGTCCTTTGTAAACTCAGAAGTGGTTTTTTAAAAATGTTTTTATTTCAATAGCTTTACAAGTGGTTTTTTGTTACTTGGATGAATTGTATAGTGGCAAAGTCTAAGGTTTTAGTGTACACATCATCCAAATAGTGTACACTATACCGAACAGGTCGTTTTTCCTCCCTTACTCCCCATCCACCCTCCTCCCTTCTGAGTCTCCAGTGTGCATTATACCACTCTGTATGCCTTTATGTACCCATAGCTTAGTGCCCACTTATGAGGGAGAACGTGCAGTATTTGGTTTTTGATTTTTGAATTACTTCTCTTAGAATAACGGTCTCCAGTTCCATTCAAGTTGCTGCAAGATACATTATTTCATTCTTTTTAAGGCTAGGTAGTATTCCATGGTATGGAATTGGTATGGAATACTACATTTTTATGGCTAGGTAGTATTCCATGGTATGGAATACTACATTTTCTTTATCCACTCATCGGTTAATGAGCATTTCGGTTGATCCTATATCTTTGCAATTGTGAATTATGCTGTGATAAACATATGCGTGTAGCTGTCTTTTTTATTTAGTGACTTCTTTTCTTTGGGGTAACTACCCAGTAGTGTGATTGCTGGATGAAATGTTAGATTTGCTTTTTGTTTTTTTGAGAAATTTCCATACTGTTTTCCATAGGAGTTGTGCTAATTTACATTCTCACCAGCAGTGTATAAACATTCCTTTTTCACCACATCCACACCAACATCTATTGTTTTTGACTTTTTAATAATGGTCATTCTGGCTGGGGTAAGGTGATATATCATTGTTGTTTTAATTTGCATTTCCTTGATGATTAGTGATGTTGAGCATTTTTAAAAATCTTTATTGGCCATTGTATATCTATTCACGTCTTTTGCTCACTTTTTAATGGGATTATTTGTTGTTTTCTTGCTGACGTGCTTGAGTTCCTTGTAGATTCTGGATATTAGTCCTTTGTCAGTAGCATAATTTCCAAGTATTTTCTCCCATTCTGTAGGTTGTCTGTTTGTTTGTTTGTTTGTTTGTTTGTTTGTTTTTGAGTCAGTGTCTCGTTCTGTCTGGATCACCCAGGCTGGAGTGCAGTGGCGTGATCTCGGCTCACTGCAACCTCCGCCTCCTGGGTTCAAGCGATTGTCTTGCCTCAGCCTCTTCAGTAGCTGGGACTACAGGTGTGTGCCACCAGCTCAGCTAATTTTTTGTATTTTTAGTAGAGATGGAGTTTCACCGTGTTAGCCAGGATGATCTCCATCTCCTGACCTCATGATCCACCTGCCTCAGCCTCCCAAAGTGCTGTGATTACAGGCGTGAGCCACCATGCCTGGCCCAGGTTGTCTGTTTATTCAAAAGATTATTTCTTTCACTGTGCAGCTTTTTAGCTTAATAAGGTCTCACTTATTTATTTTTGTTTTTGTTAGCATTTGCTTTTGGGATCTTAGTCATAAATTCTCTGCTTAGGCCAATGTCCAGAAGTTTTACTTAGGTTTCATTCCAGAATTTATGTGGTTTAAGGTCTTATATTTGAATCCATCTTGAGTTAACTTTTGTGTATGGTGAGAGATAGAGATGCAGTTTCATTCTTCTACATGTAGCTATCCAAACTTCCCAGAACCATTAATTGAATAGGATGTCCTTTCTCCAATTGATGTTTTTGTATGCTTTGTCAAATCTCAATTGGTTGTAAATGTTTGGATTTATTTCTAGATTCTCTATTCTGTTCCATTGATCTATGTGTCTACTTTTATACCAGTACCGTGCTGTTTGGGTATTTATAGCCTTGTAGTATAATTTGAAGTTGGGTAATATGATGCCTCCAGATTTATTCTTTTGGCTTAGTATTGCTTTGGCTATTTGGGCTCTTTTTTGGTTCCCTATAAACCAAAAAATATTATTTTTTCTTTTTAGAAATTAGAAATAACAATCTTAATTGTTAATGATGTTGGTATTTTCATAGGAATTGCATTGAATCTGTAAATTGCTTTGGGCAGTATAAAAAATGATGTTGGTATTTTCATAGGAATTGCATTGAATCTGTAGATTGCTCTGGGCAGTATAGTCATTCTTATGAAATTGATTCTTCCAACTCATAAACATGGAATGTATTTCCATTTGTTTGTGTCATTTATGACTTCTCTCAGCAGTGTTTTATAGTTTTTTTTTTGTAGAGAGCTTTGATTTCTTTGGATAAGTATATTCCTAGTATATACTTTTTAATTTGATGCTTAGCTTGGGCATTGTTGGTGTATAGCAGTGCTACTGACTTGTGTACATTGGTTTTGTTATCTGAGGCTTTGCTGAATTCATTAATCAGATCTAGGACTCTTTTGGAGGAGTCTTGAGGGTTTTCTAGGTATAAGATTTTATCGTTGGCAGACAGCAATAGTTTGACTTTTTCTTTTCCAATTTGGATGCCATTTATTTTGTTTTTCTTGCCTGATTGTTCTGGCTAGGACTTCCAGTACTATGTTGAAAAGAAGTGGTGAAAGTGGGGATCCTTGTCTTCTTCCAGTTCTCAGGGAGAATGCTTTCAACTTTTCTCCATTCAGCATGATGTTGGCTGTGGGTTTGTCATGTATGGCTTTTACTATTTTTAGGTATGTTTCTTCTATGCCCAGTTTGTTGAGAGTTTGTATCATAGAGGAATGCCAGATTTTATCAAAGACTTTTCTTTGTCTATTGAGATGATCATATGTTTTTTGTTTTAAATTCTTTTTATGTTTGCTGAGAATGATGGTTTCCAGCTTCATCCATGTCCCTACAAAGGACATGAACTCATCATTTTTATGGCTGCATAATATTCCATGGTGTATATGTGCCAAATTTTCTTAATCCAGTCTATCATTGTTGGACATTTGGCTTGGTTCCAAGTCTTTGCTATTGTGAATGGTGCCGCAATAAACATATGTGTGCATGTGTCTTTGTAGCAGCATGATTTATAATCCTTTGGGTATATACCCAAAACTATCGCAAGGACAAAAAACCAAACACCGCATGTTCTCACTGATAGGTGGGAACTGAACAATGAGAACACATGGACACAGGAAGGGGAACATCACACACCGGGGCCTGTTGTGGGGTGGGGGGAGTGGGGAGGGATGGCTTTAGGAGATATACCTAATGTTAAATGACGAGTTGGTGGGTGCAGCACACCAACATGGCACATGTATACATATGTAACTAACCTGCACGTTGTGCACATGTACCCTAAAACGTAAAGTATAATAAAAAAATTCTTTTTATGTGATGAATCACATTTATTGACCTGCATATGTTGAATCATCCATGGAATAAAACCCACTTTATAATGGTCAATTTTTTTGATGTGCATTGAATTCAGTTTGCTATTATTTTGTTGAGAAATTTTGTGTATATATTCATAAGAGATACTGGTGTGTAATTTTCTTTTTTTGTTATGTTCTTTTCTGGCTTTTGTATCATGGTGATACTGCCTTCATAGAATGAGTTAGGAAGGATTCCCTCCTACATCTTTTGGAATAGTTTTAGTAGAATTAGTACCAATTCTTCTTTGTCTGGAAGAATTTGTGAATCCGTCTGGCTCTGGGCTTTTTTTGTCAGATTTTTAAAATTTTTAAAAAATTCCTGAGTCAATCTCACTGCTTGTTATGGTCTGTTAAGTGTTTCTGTTTATTTCTGATTCAAGTTAAGGGGGATGTATGTTTCCAAGGGTTATCCATTTCCTCTGGATTTTCTAGTTAGCGTGCAGAGAGCTGTGGTATTTATAGTAGTCTCAAATCCTCTTTTGTATTTCTGTGGCATCAGTTATAATGTCTCCATTTTAATTTTTAATTGGGCTTATTTGAATCTTCTGTCTTCATTTCCTGGTGAACATAGATAGTTTTGTTTATCTTTTCAGATAACCACCTTTTTATTTCATTGATTTTTTGTTTTGTTTGGTTTTTTGATTTCAATTTTCTTTGGTTCTGCTCTGATCTTCGTTATTTCTTTTCTTTCGCTACCTTTGGGTTTGGTTTGCTCTTATTCCTCTAATTCCTTGAGGTGTGAAGTTAGGTTGTCAATTTGTAATCTTTCAGACTTTTTTAATGTAGTCATTTAGTGCTATAAACTTTCCTTTTAGCAGTGCTTTTGCTGTATCCCAGAGGTTTTTATAACTTTCATCACTGTTATCATTCATGTTATTAATTTCATTGTTAACCAAGAAATCATTCAGAAGCATATCATTCAATTTCCATGTATTTGTACAGTTTTCAGGGTTCCTTTTCAAATTTATTTCTAGTTTTATTCCACTGTGGTCTGAGAAGATATGTGATATGATTTTGATTTTTTAAAATTTATTTGTTCCAGAGTGCAGTATAAGTCCAATGTTTGTTGTCTTTCTGCCTCAATGATCTGTCTAATATTGTCAGTAGAGTGCTGGTGTCTCCCACTATTTTTGTGTTACTGCCTATTTCTTTTCCTAGGTCTGGTGGTAATTGCTTTATAAATCTGGGAGCTCTGGAGTTAGGTGCATATATATTTAGGATTGCTATAACTTCTTGTTAAATTGATCTTTTTATCATTATAAAATGATCTTCTTTGTTTTGTTTTACTGTTGATGCTTTAAAATGTGTTTTATCTGATATAAAAGTAGCTATTATTGCTCGCTTTTGGTTTCCATTTCTGTGAAATATCTTTTTCTACCCCTTTACCTGAAGTCTATAAGAATCCTTATGTATCAAGTGTGTCTCCTGAAGACAGTAGATATTTGATTTGTGGTTTTTTAAATCCATTCTGCCAATCTGTATCTTTTAAGTGGAGCATTTAACATTCAATGTTAATATTGAGATGTGAGATACTGTTCCAGTCATTATGTCAATTGTTACCTAGTGACTTTGTTTTCATCATTGTGTTATTGTTTTATAAGCCCTCTGAATTTTATGCTTTCAGGAATTTCTCTTCTGGTGTATGTCAACCTTTTGTTTCAAGATTTAGAAGTCCTTTTAACATTTCTTGTAGGACTGGTCAAGTATTGACAAATTCCTTCAGTATTTGCTAATCTGGGAGAGACATTTTTCTCCTTAATTTATGAAACTTAGTTTTTCTGGAGACAAAATTCTTGACTGACAGTGATTCTGTTTAAGGAGACTAAAGATGTGATCCAAATCCCTTATGGCTTGGAAGGTTTCTGCTGAGAAATCTGCTGTTAGTCTGCTGTTAGGTTTTTCTTTTGCAGGTTATCTGATGCTTTTATCCCATTGCTCTTAGAGTTCTTCCCTCCAGATTGATTTTAGATAGCCTGATGACTATATGCCTTGGTGATGTCCTTTTTGCAATGAGTCTCCCACAAGTTATTTGAGCTTCTTGTGTTTTGATGTCTGAATCTCTATCAAGACCAGGGAAGTTTTCCTCAATTATTCACTTAAATAGGTTGTCCAAACATTTTGGTTTTTCTTCTCTCTCAGGAACGACTATAATTCTTAGGTTTGGCAGTTTAACATGATCCCATATTACTTGGATACCTTTGTTAATTTATTTTAGTTATTTTTTCATTATTTTTGCCTGATTGAGTTAATTCAAAAGCCTTGCCTTTGAGTTCTGAAATTCTTTCTTCTACTTGGTTTAGTCCATTGTTTAAATTTTCCACTGCATTTTTTTTTTTTTTGAGATGGTGTCTCTCTCTGTTGCCCAGGCTGGAGTGCAGTGGCATGATCTCAGCTCACTGCAAGCTCCGCCTCCTGGGTTCATGCCATTCTCCTGCCTCAGCCTCCTGAGTAGCTGGGACTACAGGCGCCTGCCACCACGCCCGGCTAATTTTTTTGTATTTTTAGTAGAGATGGGGTTTCACTGTGTTATCCAGGATGGTCTCGATCTCCTGACCTTGTGATCCACCCATCTCGGCCTCCCACATTTTTTTTATTTCTGTAAATGTGTCTTTGATTTCCAGAAATTTTGATTGAGTTTTTTTAAATGTCATCTGTTTAGAAAATTTTTCATTCATATCCCAAATTTTTAACAAAGTTTTTTATGTTGTTTTTCACCTTTGTCTTATATCTCCTTGAATAATGTAATAATCAGCCTTTTGAATTATTTATCTAGTGTTTCAAAGTTTTCATCTTGGCTTGGGTCCACTGCTGGAAAGCTAGTGTGATCTTTTGGGGGTGTAATAGATCTTTATTTTCTTCATATTGCCAGAATTATTTTTCTGGTTTCTTCTCATTTGGGTAGACTATTTCTTCTAATTATAATTGAATTTGTTTTTTATTCAACTGGGTTTAAAAATTTTTTTTCTACTTGAGAATGCGACTTTAATGTTTATAGTTTGTTGTCACCTAACGTTGGCTCTGAGTGTTTTTATTGGCAGAAACTCTGTATGAGTTCTTGGTTATAGAGAATCTTTGTATGATGGCTTTCTCAGATGTTGGTTATAGTAGGTATGTACTGGATATGTGAGCAGGTTCACTGTCTCCTGTGGGGCTGGAATGCCAGAGGTCTAATAAAGCTTATCTTCTTCCCCAGTGGAGTGCATTTTAAACTTTTTTTTTCCCCAGTATCTTACTTGCTGGGTTGAACAGTTCAAAATTTAGGCCCGTAGGGGTTGCCCACAGGTAAAAACTGACTGTGGCTAAAACAGATGGGTAAATGCAATACCCCAATGATGGGCAGAAGTGGGCAGAGGTCTCAGCCTTGACAGAGGCAGTTGGGGAAGCTCTCAGTGAAATGCACTGTTCTTTTCAGGGGGAAGTGAGGGAGCCACCACAGCTGTCCTTCCAGACCAGCAAGAAAGCAATCACCAGTCACACTCCTGAATTGGTGTTCCAGTGATTCAGTCAGACAGGCACCTCTTTTCATCTACAGAAATGCTGATGTTCCACATAGATAGGGATTGTGTGACCTTGAACCTGGAGGACACTCCTCCTGTGGAAATACAGTCACCCTGAAGTGTTCTAGAAAGGCTATCTACTGATGCATCCATGCTGAACTCCCGTGGGAGAAGCCCCAACTCTGTCTGCAGTGGTGGGTGAGGGGTAGAAGTTTCCTTCTCTAAGACCCTTCATGAACACTGAGGCTGCCTGACTGTTGGGGTAGAATTGCAGACTTTCCCCATTGAGTCCAGCATTGCACCTTTGCTTCGGCTGAAAGAAACATCCCACAAGAGGAAAGTTCAGAGACTGAAGACCTACAGCCTGGTTTCTTCAGTTCCATGTAGTGCTCCCTTAATGTGATGCATTCCCCCTTTTTCTAGGAGTAGCAGTCCCTGAGACCAGACTACTGTGGATCCTGCTGCTATTCTGGGTCTCGCTGCCCACTGGGGCTGCCATATTTAGGCTGGTGCTGGGGAATGTCTGCAAGGGACTCAATGAGGTGACCTGTCTTCTAGTCTCCCAGTAGCAGGTACAAGCACCACCTCTCATTGGGGGAGGGTGAGGAATGACGTATACTCTGAGATTCTGAGATTTTCCTTATTACCAGTAGCCTTAATGTATTGGCTTTCTCAAATTCCAGCAGTAGTAGTAATGAACTAGGTTCATGGACAAACTCAAGACCTCCTGGTTAGGCAGGGTGATGCAGGCAATGGCAATACCTGAGGTCATGCAAAATTTTTTTTCTTCCTAAGTGCTATGCTATTGTGCCTGACGATGCTGTAATGGGCTCTGCTGGGTGGCTTCCAGCAAGGAGGTGGAACCTGCAAAGGAGCACTATCTGCAGTGGTAGCTGTGGAATTTATGCTTGCTTTATGTTACCCAGGGGAGGTACTCTGGTGTCTCGGGCAATGCGGTGAGGGTGGAGGGGATGGTCATGGAGCTCCCAAACATCCCTGTCCATTGTATTATGCTGCTAGGGCTGCTGGAGGGGCAAAGCCAGGTGGGAGCTGGGTCAGACAATCATACTCTGGCTCCCCACATATGTGTGCAAGCTGCAGCCCCAGTGGTGTTAACATGGCAGTTCTCTGGCTGCTGGGGTAATGTTCTAGAGAGAAGTGCAGCTGCCTCAGATACACAAAATAATCCTCATAGGGAGTGGTGTGTAGTAGGTGGAAGTATGCCCCATTCAGCTCCTACACACTTGTCAAGGCAGTTCTCACACCCATAGTGTTCTGCTAGCAGCAGATAGCTGGGTTCCAGGCAGCCTGTACTCAGAACTCAGAACTATCCCAGGCCATAAGCATTCCAGACGAAGACAGAAACTGTGGCTTTCAGGCCACGCCTCTCCTGGTCTGCCCATGAAGTAGGGGCATTCAGCTCCTGTGTGCATGACTGTAGCCACTTCCCACTTGCTCTTCAGTTCTGGCCAACAGGGCGCATCCCCACTCAAGACTATATCACAAATCTCAGTTGGAAGCTTCTCTCAACCTTTGACCGCTGCCTGAGTTAGCTGACAGACTTCCGAGAGGTCCTCTAGTAGGATCAAGAATGGCTTCCCTCCATCCCTGCTGGATTCTGGGAGTGCACACAAAGCATGTCCCAATGCTGTTCCTTCTTATATACTCCCTACTACTCACTAAATCAGCTCCAGTGCTAGGTAGGGTTAAGGCCTTTCTACCTAACCTGGATTTCCTGGCTCCCCTGTGGGAGTGTGTGTCACAGAGGCTCTCTCCTCTTCTCACACTCTGAAGACTCACAGTTTTCTATCTGGTTCACAGTGAAGGGTACTGCCTGCCATTTGTTTCAAAGGGTCTGTGGTTTCTTCTTAGTTTTTCTGTTAAATTCCCATGGTTCTTCTTGGAAAAAAGCTAACATTGTGAATCTCTACATACTACTGTGTCTTTCCAAGTAGAAGAGGCGTGCTAACAATGCCTCCATCTGCCATCTTGGGGAAAAAAACAAACAACAACAACAACAACAGAAACCTGAAATGTTTTAAAGATGACAAATGATAGCATCCTTATGCATTGTTCTGTGATCAAAATAATTGATAGTTAGACATTACATTGTTTAGCAGTGCATAGCACATAGTAGATGTTCATGCATTTTATTTTTTTAATAGACACCTCTTTGTTGTTTTTGTCACGTCAACAAAACCCATCTGATAAATGGCTCTAGTTTGTCACCATTTTCCTGAGCTGCCAAGCTAAAATTTGATGTTCTTACTTTCTGTTAACCAGAAATATGTTAGAAGAGAGTCTGGATTTGTCCAAAATCCGCAGCTGTGTTTCAGCCTTAAGGCTGAAGCTTCTACAGGAAAGTTCTGCAGTTTTTTTAGTGCAAAGACTTGCAGAGTTAACAAACTGTCATTTATTTAAAAATCAATCTGTATCTTGGAGATTGAATGTTTCAATTTTAATTGCTTAAATGTATAAAGAGAAGGGAAAATTAACAATATTAAAAATAGAATTCTCTTTCCCATTCTTTCCAATTTGCCTTTTTTAATAAAGTTAATTTTATGAAAATAATTTGAATTATATATGGTTTTTAACATTAGGATACTATTACATTTGCAAAGTGTCTCATGAATTGCTGATTAGAAAAACTGGATACCTGAAATTTTAAATACTCTTTATGAGACTGATAGATGGAAATGAAAATGTATGTTTATTTACATATGTGTTTCTTAGGGCCAGAAGCTGTATCACATACAAAGCAGTTTTCCCTTTCTGGAATCTCACTGTGGGACATTGTGGGAAATAAACAGTGGAAAAAATATATGGACTGTTCTGTGTTTCCCTTTGCAAGGTAAAGTGAGTTGAGTGGAGATCCCCAGTTGGTGTGATAAGGACTAAGATGGGGAAGGTGTAGTCCCTGGTGGGATTGAAGTCAGGTGTTGAGAGCAGGGGTTCATAACAAGAGTGCTTGGTACAGGATGAGGCTGGCTGGATGAACTGGTAGATTGGTAGATGGCCTTGTCTAAAGGCCAAATTAAATTTCTTCTCTGTCCCTTTCTCAAATCATAAAAAAAGTATTTGGATTATGAAACTGGCCATTCTTCTGTATGCCAATGTCTGGTTGAAGGGACTATTCAGTCTGAAAGGATATCCAGTGAGAGGGAACAAATTCATAACATTTTAGAACAAAACTAAAGTCTAAATATGATTGTATAGATGCATAATCAAGTTTAGAGGATTGAATACTCAAATACACATACACACACAATTAATTTCTTCACTAGAGAGCAAGTAACACATCATCTATTCCACTTTTAGTGAGACTGACTTAATGAGGTTGATACTGAATTGCAGTGCAGGTTTCATATAAGAAAGAGAAAGAGAGAACACATGTGTATTCAGCAGGTACTATATACTTAGCACTATGCTGGCCACTTTACCAGTGTTATTTTATTTTATTCTTATAATGAGCTTGTGGTTTATGAGGGATGGGCAATGTCCAGTTATGAGAAGAAAGGAAAAGAAGCTAAAAAATGTTGCTCAAATTCAGATGGCAGGTAGTTTTCAGATCCAAATTTGAGTCCTAGACTTATGCAGCCAAAACTAAGGGAATTTAAAAGCTCGGGTGAAGACTTTAAAAAATACGGTAATGTCTTTAATAGGTCTCAAATATGGTGTTCTTGCTTGTGAAATCTTGACATAGTCACATTTTACCTCTCTTTATCTGGAAGTTTCATTAGTGCCACTGATGAAAACATATGATTTATATTATCTCGTTTTGCAGCATCAGTACTTGGAGTAGAGCAGCAATATAGAAGAGAATTCTTGTGAAAATGCAAAGAAAGATAGTAGAAATTAGGTGTGTTTATGTGTTCATATATGAAGTTATATAAGATTTAATGCCCTCAAAAAGACGTACATTGTCCAATTTGTTCCTGTTTTCCTAGAGCTTGCACTGGCACGAATGTAGAGTCTTTTATAGGGAGTGGTATCTAGTGTCATTCGGAGGATAATCTGAATCACTCATTGTGTTTAAAAGAAAATAGGTTTCTTTAAAATAAATATTTATCACAGATTTCCTTACACCAGAAAATGATTGTCTACCATGTATAGTAACTGATATGCTTTGGCTGTGTCCCCACCCAAATCTCATCTTGAATTGTAGTTCCCATAATCCTCATGTGTCATGGGAGGGACCTAGTGGGAGGTAATTTAATCATGGGGCAGTTACCCACATGCTGTTCTCATGATAGTGAGTGAGTTCTCATGAGATCTGATGGTTGTATAAGGGGCTTTTCCCCCTTTTGCTCTGCACTTCTCCTTGCTGCTGCCATATGAAGAAGGATGTGCTTGCTTCCCTTTCCACCATGATTGCAAGTTTCTTGAGGCCTCCTCAGCTTTATGGAACTGTGAGTCAATTAAACCTATTTTCTTTATAAATTACTAAGTCTCAGGTATTTCTTCATAAAAGCGTGAGAATGAACTAATACAGTAACCTTTGCTTACTTTGCTGCAAATCTCCTTTCTCACCTGAAGAGTTAACCAGTAAGCATATAGAAACTTTCCTGGAACCCATCCTTACTCCTTATTGTTGTCATGTGTGATTGCAGCTTGCCCATTCAGATACCTTCTGTTTCTCCTATGAGAGAATCCTATGTGTGTATCTATATATGTGTGCATGGACATAGGAAATTGTAAGTAGTTAAGATTTCCTCTAGCATGTAGAAATTTTCCATTATCCTTACTCAAATGTCTTCCAAAATTTGTACATTAAAAGACATGCCTAATTTTTAACTTTGCAAAGTAGAGTGTCCTGTAAATGACCTGTATGTTATTGCTTCCCTAGTGCCTAGAGGAATGTGTGACAAATTGAACGGGGTAAGAGATGTGTGATAAACTCAATTTAATGTGATGTTCTCTGTGGTCCTTTCGAAGCCTAACATTCATTGATTTATTGATTCAGTGATTTAATATGTATTTGAGTACTACTACATGAATCATACTGTTGTAGACAATGGGATGTAACAGTGAACAACGAATGTTCTCCCTCATTAAATTTGCGTACTGATAAGGAAAGATGGATAATAAATATACAAATGAATAAATAGGTAATAGAAGTAGTGAGCCAGGGGGTGTGATAAATGTTGTGAAAGAAAGTACAGTACAGTGCAAGGCACAGAGTTGGGGTCCTTTTTTTAGATAGGATGGTCACATGAAACTTTCCTGATAAGATGCCATTTGAGTAGACAACCTGGAGGGAGTGAAATGTTAAGTGAGGCATATATTCACAAGGTAAGCATTGCAGGCAGAGTAGAGGCAAAAGTGAGAGAGTGATTTGGGTTTTAAGAAACAGCAAGCCCACAGTGTTCCAGGGCAGAGCAAAGGAGGTAGGTGAGGAAGTTGGGAAGTGGAGAGATGTAATTGGAGTCTAGCTCACACAGGGTTTTGGGGGCCAGGATAGGGACATCAGAAAGCCATTAGAGAATTTTGATCATAGGCGTATCAAGATATTGACACTCAACAGCAAAAAAGGAGTCAATTTGACTGTATAATAATTTAAAGATATAATTTAAATATATGTTTTACAGGATCTCTTTGATCACTTTGTGAAAAATATACATTTGGGATCAAGTGTGGAAGCAAGTTCGGTTAGGAGTGTTGGAAAAAACCTGGGTGTGCAATGATGGTTGCTTGAACTAGGGTGGCAAAAAGTGCTTTGTTTTTAGAAATACTTCAGTGGTAGAGTCAAAGTAATTTGCTGACAGATTGGACATGAAGTATGAAAGAAGGAAAGGAGTCAAGGCTGACTCTAATTTTACGGGGGTGAGAGTGAGCTGCCACAACTTGAAGAATGGAATTTTTATTTCCTAAGATGAGGAATGCTGTAGGAGAAACTGGTTGTAGGAAATGAGCAGGTTAAGTTTGGAACTTCTATTAGAATTCAGACGAGAATGTTAAGAAAACCGTTGGAGACTAGTGTTCTATGACATCTGGACTGGCATTATACTTCGAGAGTCAACAGCATGTAGATGGTGTTTAAGTCTGTGGATCTGGTTGGCAGCACCAAGCAAGACAGAGTAGAAAGAAAAGGGATGAGATCTTAAGACTGAGCTTTCACATGCTTTAGCATTTAAAAGTTGCAAGGTGACAGGAGGAACACAAAGAGACTGGAGAATAAAAGCAGCCAGTAAGCAAGCATCAACAAGGCGTTTGTTGGTGACAGTTGAAAGTAGCTGTTTTGGTTGATTGTGGAAACAGCCTGATTGGAGAGGAATAAGAAAAAATGGGAGGAGAGAAGAAGGGATCAGGATTATGACTATTTCTTCTTAATGGTGTTATAAAGAGAAGGATAGAAATCTGGTGGTGGCTAGAGGGGATGTGGGTCAAGGGAGGAGTCTGGGTTCTCTCTTTTGTTTCTGATTTTAAGATGGCAAATGATTTGACATGTTATATAATGTGGAAGGGTCCAATACAAAGTGACAGCAGTAGAGATTTATATGTGTGCTTTTTGATAAAACATTTCTGTTGACTTTCCATAAAACAGATGGATTTTGGCATTAGGGTGCCTCCTGGTCCATGGTGGGTGGGAGTTCCCTTTGCACTTTGTAACAGAGTCAGCACTGTGACAGAAACTCACACATCACTCCATTTGCTAAGCTAATAAAGAGGGCAATCAAAGGCCCATGTGGTCACAAGGTAGGCTGGTACGATCAGAAAAGGAGATTTATAGACTAAAGTGAACCACAATATTAAAAGGTCACAAATAACATTTCCCTGTTGCATCTACTTTCTGCATATCCTAAGGCCCTGCATTTTTGGCTGCTTTTAGATAATTCATTTGAGTATGGTTATGAGCTTTTGTGCTAACCCATGATCGATAACCCCTGGGATAGCAGAATCCCAGGTGTGTGGAATGAATGGCGGGCGGGGCAGGGGGTGTTAGGAGGTTCCTACTGAAACCTATAATTGAAAAGGGTAGAGCTCAAGCCTGGCCAGGGCAGGACAGTGCCTCTTGCTGCTGCAATGTTCTAAGACTTCCTCTGGCACTGATATCCTGTGGTTCAGTGACTGCAGAAACCAATTTTCAATAACACAGAGAAACTGTTCTTCTTCCTACTTAGGAAACAGACCTGTGGTTTCTTCTATGTTGGGTGTATTGTAGCTGTCAAATTTCTCCTCAGGAAATTTAACCCTTTTTGACTTTCACCTCCTTTAAATGTCTCCTTTGCTTCAGATATCTTGTCTAAGAGAATGTTCAGGTACCTTCAGTCCTATGGTTTTCTGCTAATTAAAGATATTTAGAATCTGTTATCAATAGAGGCTAAAGTTTACTTTTGCCCAATCTATAACATAAAACAGTTTTTTACATTTCTGTATGTGTATCTTGTTGAAGATGTGTTTAGTTTATTTATAGAAACTTTCTTTTCAAATATTAGAAGCACCTGTTTTTCTAGAAACAGCCATCTTAAAGTAGGTTGATCAGAGTCTAGGCAATATTCTGGTAGTTAAGTGATTTGTATCCACTTTAAGTTTAAAAAAAAAAACGCTGCATTTCCTTATGCTGTTGATCCACTTCTACACTGAATATAACACTGGCAAGTCAGGATGGTGATGAAAAGAATCAGTGGTCCGTAGCACTAAAAGAATTCCTGGCCACCCCTGGCTGCCAGGTGGACCTAGCAATCAGAGACATAGAGATAGTGTTGTTTTTTTTTTTTTTTTTTTTTTTGCTTGTCCTTATTTGCCAAAAACTTTAACAGTAATAATTCACTTTCTTATCCTAAAAAATTAAATAACAAAGGACTATTCTCATTATCAATTAGGAAGCACTAAGACACAAAGCATAATCATGAAGATATTTGGGGAGCTAGGAATCTCCATAAAAGTGGAGCTAATCCCAGTGTTTTCCTTTGATTACTTTTGGTACCATTTAGTCCACTTACTGTATCATCTTGTAATTGCCCTGAACAGTTTTTCATCACAAAAGCAGTTACATTCTCTCACTATTTGACACAAAGTGTAAAGAGAAAGTATTTAAAATGTCAGGCTACTTTGGTATGTTATACCACAAAGGATGGAACAGATGTTTTTAAATAAACATCAGCCCTGGTTGTGGGTTGTTGAGACACTGAGAGAGCCTTTTTCAGAAGCAGGGGCAGCTCATGAATTTAGAGGAGGCTTAAACACTGTACTTTCACATAAAGCCATAAAGAGTTGGCAGAAGTATCAGGGATCAATGAATGGGCACAGAGCTGAGCATGTTATAACTCAAATTGCCAATAAAAATGTCAGCCTTGAATCTGAAGCAAATAGTTTTGTAATTCTGAACTGAAAGCATTTTTTAATTGCTTTCGAATGGAAAAACTTCATATAATTTAATAAAATTTATCTCCTTTATAATCAAGAAAGCCATTATTGCAGCAAAGGGAAGTGGAGGATTTAAATGTCATTCCTAGCATCTAATTTCCCAGCTCTTTTATTGGGATGTTATTAAAACAAAACCAAATGGACTTTGCTACATCCATAAAAGCCAGTCAAGCAACAAGAGTTCATCTGGGCAGTACAGAATCATGAAACTGGGCCCGTGGCTGTAGCCAGGCTGGTGTGGGGTGAGACACATCCTGGAAGCAGGTGTGATATGTCAGGAGCAATGTTTTGGCATTCTGGAACTTGTGGAGCCTAAAGAGCAGCTGGATGCAGGGAGAAGCATACCAGGGACAATGGCTATCTTTGTACTCTAGGGATCTATTTGGTTCTTTAATGCATGTTGTGAATCAACTAAATGCTTGGAAACAAATAATGGTAGGAATCTGCTGGGGTCCTAGACAAGGGCTGATTGGAGAGGGCTTTTTCTTTGCTGAAAAGCAGGGCCACCAGCTTGCTAGGTGGATACTTGGGTTCATCGTGTAGACCTATTGAGATAAATTCTAGGGCTAGCAGGAGGGCAAAACCGCTTGTGGATGATGGAACTATTTACAGTAAAACAATTACCAATGAAATAGAAGGTATCCAGACACCTTTGGCTGTGAGGAGAGAGATGTCATTACTAGGATGGCATAGAACGGAAGCTAAGCATGTTTAAAGTTCTAGGTATTACACAGGGTGCCTTACTGGTAGTGGTAGTCCTAGTAATAAATAACATTTTCTAAGAACCATCTGCCAGCCACAATGCTTAACAGTTTGTATATTTTGTTTGATTTATAATAATCCTCTGTGGTCTTATCCCCATTTCACAGATGATTCTAAAGCCCAAGTTTGTTCAATGCTTTCTATTCCCTGTTCCATGCTCTCTTTCATGGGTGCCGTGGAGCATACAGTGCCAGCTTGGTTTCCTGTGAAAATAAACAGCATTACCTCCCAGTTTCAAAATACTATGGACATATATAACTGCAGGACAGTTCTTTGGGTGGCCTTAGACTGATCCAGTTCCTCCCACCATGCCCCCTCTTTTTTTTGCATGTATTTCTCAAGAATAACTATAGACTGTGCTGGGAATACAACATTATCAGATAAAAGGGGAGCCCGATAGCCTGGGCTCTGATCCAGCCCCCTCTTCTCACCCCAAAACAGGATGTTTTCAGTGTTTTAGCCCACTTGTCATGTAACCCCTGGGTATATATAATCTTAAGCCTGCTGTCTGTCAGAGTTCCTTATCTGTGGTGCAAGTGGGACACACACAGTTGAGACTTCATCCACCCCAGGCAGCTTTCTGAGCCTTGGAGGGTCTGCTCCCAATGACTCCTGGGCTTCTGTTGTTCATTGCTGCCTACTGTAAGTGGTAAACCTGCTTCATGTAACTTGTTGCATATGGATGTATTCTGTTTCCCTGGATTTAGACAAGTTGGTAACCAGTCCACTGTGAACTCATTTCATAATAACCTTTACTAAACAATCGCAAAACTATGATTCTGCATTCAAATTTCTATTCTAGGCACAGAAGTTATGTAGTGAGTCCAAAGATGACAAGTCACATCTATATCTGTAATGGAGTTTGTCTTACACACCTCTGAAGTTAAAGAAGGAAAGGGAAATAATGAGGGTAAAAAAGTCTCTATTTTTTTGTTTTGTTTTTGTTTTTGTTTTTTTGAGGTGGAGTTTCGTCTGTCTCCAGGCTGGAGTGCTGTGGTGCAATCTTGGCTCACTGCAACCTCCGCCTCCCAGGTTCAAGGGATTCCCCTGCCTCAGCCTCCCAAGTAGCTGGTACTACAGGTGTGCCCCACCAGGCCTGGCTAATTTTTTATATTTTCGTAGAGATGGGGTTTCACGATGTTAGCCAGGATGGTCTCGATCTTCTAATCTTGTGATCTGCCCACCTCGGCCTCCCAGAGTGCTGGGATTACAGGCAATGGGCAAAAACATCCCCCAAAACAAAAAACAAATTGTTTTATGCTTGACCAAACTGTATGTTCTGTGTATGGCACTATGATAGCAAATTTTGGGTCAGGAAAAGCCAGTAAGAAAGAGACCACTTCTAAGCATGTGGCCAAAGAATCACAAATGTGTGTGTGAGTGTGTATATGTGTGTGAATTTAATAGCACCATTAAGGGTAATTTAAAAAATAATAATGAAAGACAAAGGAAAGCATCCACAATCTCATCAGCTAATAATATTACTGTTTTATTTCTGGGTTAATTCACATTTGTCCATATTCTGACACACTTATATAGTTACCATTATGAGCAGAAATCTTGGCAAAAATTTGGGGGGCAGTAGTAATAGTGATGTCTGGAAACAGATGTCCTGGCCTTATCATTTATGAGCTCGGAAACATTTCTGAACTGTTTTTCCTTTCAGATTACTCACATGTAAATGGAAATAATATTAGGGCCTGCCTCATGAGGCAGCTGAGAAAATGAAATGAGAAAAAACATTAAGTACTCGGCATAATGTGGAGCACATAGTATGCACTCATCACAGGTTGGCTTTCATTACTGTTTGGTGTTCATTCTTCACAGAAATCATGTTTTAAATGTGCCTTTACACTACTTAAATGTGGTTAACAAAGTGAGGGAAGTTCATTAATAGCCAAAACCACTGATAGGGAGATCATGTGGTTGTAAAGTGAGGACGACTCAGATCCAACCCAGGCCACTCAGATGAAACCTATCTTCTAAATTAAAGTTTTTGTATGAGAGAGCTATAATCCAAGTGCCAGAAATCAGGCTTTCCTTCTATTTTGAATCTTGACTCTAACATACCTAAGTGCACTGTGAAATTTGGGCAGGTGACAACGTATTCAGCCTACTACTAAGGTCTCTAATAATAGAAGTTGTATCTAGCAGGGTTGTGTGAAAATTAAACAAAAATTAAATGAGATACAGGTGTTGACAAGATTGTGGAGAAATTGGAATCCTCATACAGTGCTGGTGGGAATGGAAAATGGTGCAGCCACTTTGGAAAACACTTTGGTAGTGCTTCTAAATATTAATCATAGAATTTCTATATCACTCAGCAATTCTGCTTTTAGGTGTATACCCCAAAAGACGCAAGACACTCTTCCTTTTCCTCACCTCAAGCAGAAGGAAGGGGTCTCTTTTGGAGCCATGAGCTGTGCAGCCTGGCATTAGGGCCGGAGTGATGTCATCACTCCCTTGGCTGCCCCAGCTGGTACCTCAGTATGTCACATGCCCCCCAGTTCACGGTCTGTCAGCCTAGTTCAGCCCTAGGACTAGCCTATGAGTTGCAGTCTTTATGGCTTAGACCGCCTTTCAAGTTTACTTAGAGACCAAGAGCACTTTGGCCGTAGGTGGTGAGGCTTGTGGACACTCAATTTCAGACCTTTGAAATTGGCAATTTCCCTCTGGCTGAGGCTGGTTTAAATGCTCCCTCTGTGGGCAGTCCGCAGCTGAGTTTGATCTGGTTTTCCCTTTGGCTCTAACAGGACACAGCTGAGTTTAATGCCTCACAATTGCTGTGTTCTTCTTTCTCCCAGTGCCCAGAGATGCTCTCTGCACCACACCACCACTGCTGGGGTCGGGGAGCGGAGTTGGTGATCCAGGAATGTTTTCCTGTTTCTTCAGTGCCTCTTTCAGTGATATGAAGTTAAAACCAGGTACTGTGAGTGCTCACCTGATTTTTGGTTCTTATGAATGTGTTTTTTTTCTGTGTAGATAGTTCTTAACTTGGTGTACTTGTGTGGGGGGTGATCTGTGGAGCTTTCTATTACATCTTGATCTGCCTCTCCCCAAACTTGGGCATATTACATGTGGGAAAATTCTATTATTGTACTCTTGAGTGTAAAATATGGTTTAAAGGACCCCAGAATTCTTTTCAGCTGTGTAAGTTATTTAAAATAACATTTTTATTACAGATAAAATTAAGCAAAGTGAAGACAAGTGATTTTTGTTCTCTAGTATCTTGTAGCACTACTATGATGTGTTTCTCTGCAAAGTTGCTCTTGATATCTATATAGCTAATCTTTCCAACTCTTCCTTTACTGTTTCCTAGCCATGTATTTAGCCTTTCTCTTTCACTCACCAACACAGGTACTAGTGACCTTCCTACTTAAAGTAATGCTCAAAAATGGCCAATGAAACTGTGACACAAATAGCAACAGCAAAGCAAATCTAAAAGTAATAGGCTGTCAGCGACTTGAAATATTCTCTCAAGATAAAAACATGTGAGGGGAGCAAGATGGCCCACAGAATGATTCCAGGATGGTGGGGTGGATGGATCACAGATAAATCTGGCAAGGTTGAACCCTTCCATCCTCGCTGCAGGAGGCCAACCCAAAGCCCTGAGCTGGGACCTATGCTACCCTCTTCTGCTTGTTCTGCAGGGCTGCAACATGTGTTCTGTGCTCCATATTTCACCTGAAAAAAGGGAGGCAGGTGCCATTGAGAAGCTGGCTATAAAATCCTTTGAAACTACATTGTAGAATTCCAGAAAGTGAGTTCAGAAATATTAATCCAGCTCCCACATTTACTGAAGGGGAAACTTGGGATCAGAAAGGAGCTCTTTAAAGACATGGACTCTTTAGATTGTGAGCTCTTTAAAGACAGGGATTAGTCTTTTTTGTAGCTCTAACAAATACGTAGCACCTCACACAAAGCGTATGCTCAGGTACACGTACCTTGAGGTAACAGATGCCCAGTACTTAAGGAAAGTGTTAAGATGAATATACCCTTGTAAACCCCACACAAAATGTAACCACAGAAAGAAACTCTCATTTTTCAGCAAGCTTTACTTACCTATAGAGTTCCACAGAATGCAGCTAGGATTTCAGTTGGGTTAGGAATGGCCAGAAATGCCCAGGTGTTCTGGCTGGTGCCCTTGGATAAGCCCACAGATTTTCTGGGGAAATTTAATCACGTTGACACCTACCTCTGGGACCAGGTGGGCTTGTGGAATTTTCTGTCTAACAAAGTTCCATTTAGCATATTAATATGGATTTTGAAAAGTGTATTCTAATGAACTGTCAGGAAAGCCAAGATCAGCTAGGCCACTGTTATCCAAATCCAAAGAGTGTGAGTGTGTGTGTGTGTGTATATATACATATATATAAGTGTATATATTTTTTTCTTTTCATTGTGAGGCATCTGGAATGTAGCAGGAAATTTTGAAGCCATGGGATGTTATATTTTTTGTTTTTTTCCCTTTTTAGGTTGAAAGCCAAATTATGACAATTTGGGATTTCTGGAAATAATATTTTACAGTAGTAGTTTTCTGCCCATTTCAACTATAATTTCAAATTCTCTTTTTGCTCTCAAGGGTACAGTGATGAATGGTCCCAGCTGTGTAATTGTAGTTTTGGGGTTTCTCAGGAGATGGCACTGGATCCTATAAAGGCTCTGTCTTAATGGTGGTACAAGAACCTTGGCATGCCCACCTCCTGCATGTGCTTTTGTTCATGACAACATTGCACATTCGGGGACAACATTGTGTCCCCGAACTGTAGGCATGCTCCCTATTTCGTATCAGAAGGAAGGTAAGTTTCCCTTCCTGTATGGGACAGAGACCTAAGCTGGGAGGTTCAGGAAGTTTGAGGAAGTGCCCAAACTTCCGCTACTGGGGACAGAGATTGGCGTGACACTACTTCTGCCTGGAGAATCCTATCCTTCCCCATCCAACTGATTCTTTCCTGTCCCCTTCAGAGCTGGCACAGAACACATTTAATAAGGATACAGTTCGAGGAGAAGGACTGCCCTAGTCAAAGGGCTTTTCAGGAAAGTGGCCCTACTCAGACCCCTTCTACAGCTTTGGAATCAGCACACGCGCTGTCAGCACCCACCTGCAGCATATTGAAAGCGTATTGAAAGCAGCCAGGGTGGCAGCAAGGGGGCGCCACAGCAGATACACGCAAGTCCCCATTCTGCATCCTCAGCCAGAGGTAGCAAACTGGCAGCTTGCTAGCTGGACCTGGCCTCAGGGTGTTTAGTTTGGCTCTCCCAGAGTTGGCCCACACAGTGTTTTATATTTGATTTATTTGATTATAAAAATGGGGAGATATCACATAAATGTGTAAATTTCCAAAATCTTTTGAAAAACACTTGGGAAATGCTTGGCTCTTTTCCTTTCATTTGCAAAAAGGCTGTAAAAGAGCAGGTTTTGCTACCTTTTATAGAAGCCTGGTATGATATCGTGATTTAGAATAAGAAATATATATTTTGGTCTTTGTTCCCAGTTCCTGAGACAGGGCACCTAGTTCCTTGGAGTGTTCTGGGTGATATAAGCATCTTATTTTTTTTTCGAATGAAGTAACTGTTATCAACAGAAAGACCAAGCATGATTAGAAGCTTGGAATTTGCACCCCACTTCCCATCCTTCATGAAGGAGAAAGGGGCTAGAGATTAAATTAATAATCAATCATGCCTATGTGATGAAGCTGCCATAAAAAGTATTGAACTACAGGGTTTAGAGAGCTTCAAGGATGGTGAACAAGAATACGTCCATGTACCAGAAGGGTTGTGTACCCCTAAGTACATGGGCACAGAAGTTCCTACACTCAGGACTTTTCCAAACCTTGCCCTATATATGCCTTCATCTGGCTGTTGATTGGTATCCTTTAAAATATCCTTTGTAAAAAATAACAGACACAAAGACTGATGAAACAGAATAGAGAACTCAGTAATAAACCCAAGCATATACAATCAACTAAATTTTGACAAGACCACCAATAAAGCAAAAATGGTGAAAGGATTCAACAAGTGGAAATGGGAAAATTGGGTATGTACATGAAAAGAATGACACTGGATCCTTAAATGGTATCCTACACAAAAATCAAATCAAAATGTATTAAAAACCTCAGTATAAGATCTAAAACTGTAAAAATTCCTGGAAGAAAATATACAGAGGAAAAGCTTCTTGACATTGCCCTTGGCAATTAGTTTTTGGATTTCACAACAAAAGCTCAGTGAATAAAAACAAAAATAAATAAGTGGGACTATATCAAACTAAAAAGGTTCTCCAAATAGCAAAAGAAAAAGACAGCTTATGGTTTGGGAGACAATATTTGCAAACTATACATCTGATAAGAGATTAACTCCCAAAATATATAAGGAAGTCACACAATAGCAAAAAAAAAGTTTAAAAAATGAGCAAAAATCTGGACATTTTTCTGAACACATAAAAATATCCAACAGGTATATGAAAAGGTGCTCACCATCAGTAATCATCAGATAAATATAAAAACCACAATGAGATATAGTTTCACATCTGTTAGCATGGCTATTATCAAAAAGACAAGAGATAGCAAGTGTTGGTGAGAGTCAAAATTAAAACTCTTGTGACCCAGTGGTTCCTTTTCTGATTATATGCCCCAAATTAATGGAATCAACACCTTGTAGACATTTCTACACTCTGATGTGCATCACAGCTTTATTCACAATAGCCAAGATAAGGAAACAACGTAAGTGTTCATCAATAGATAAATGGATAAAGAAAATGGTATCTGTCTGTCTATCCATCCATCCATCCATCCATCTTTTTTTTTCATTATTGTACTTTAAGTTTTAGGGTACATGTGCACACTGTGCAGGTTTGTTACATATGTATACATGTGCCATGTTGGTGTGCTGCACCCATTAACTCGTTATTTAGCATTAGGTATATCTCCTAATGCTATCCCTCCCCCCTCCCCCCACCCCACAACAGGACCCAGTGTGTGATGTTCCCCTTCCTGTGTCCATGTGTTCTCATTGTTCAATCCCACCTATGAGTGAGAACATGTGGTGTTTGGTTTTTTGTCCTTGCGATAGTTTGCTGAGAATGGTGGTTTCTAGCTTCATCCATGTCCCTACAAAGGACATGAAATCATCCTTTTTCATGGCTGCATAGTATTCCATGGTGTATATGTGCCACATTTTCTTAATCCAGTCTATCATTGTTGGCCATTTGGGTTGGTTCCAAGTCTTTGCTATTGTGAATAGTGCCTCAATAAACATACATGTGCATGTGTCTTTATAACAGCATGATTTATAATCCTTTGGGTATATACACAGTAATGGGATGGCTGGATCAAATGGTATTTCTAGTTCTAGATCCCTGAGGAATTGCCACACTGACTTCCACAATGGTTGAACTAGTTTACAGTCCCACCAACAGTGTAAAAGTGTTCCTATTTCTCTACATCCTCTCCAGCACCTGTTGTTCCCTAACTTTTTAATGATCACCATTCTAACTGGTGTGAGATGGTATCTCATGGTGGTTTTGATTTGCATTTCTCTGATGGCCAGTGATGATGAGCATTTTTTCATGTGTCTTTTGGCTGCATAAATGTCTTCTTTTGAGAAGTGTCTGTTCATATCCTTTGCCCACTTGTTGATGGGGTTGTTTTTTTCTTGTAAATTTGTTTGAGTTCCTTGTAGATTCTGGATATTAGCCCTTTGTCAGATGAGTAGATTGCAAAAATGTTCTCCCATTCTGTAGGTTGCCTGTTCACTCTGATGGTGGTTTCTTTTGCTGTGCAGAATCTCTTTAGTTTAATTAGATCCCATTTGTCAATTTTGGCTTTTGTTACCATTGCTTTTGGTGTTTTAGACATGAAGTCCTTGCCCATGCCTATGTCCTGAATGGTATTGCCAAGGTTTTCTTCTAGAGTTTTTATGGTTTTAGGTCTAACATTTAAGTCTTTAATCCATCTTGAATTAATTTTTGTATAAGGTGTAAGGAAGGTATCCAGTTTCTTCTTTCTACATATGGCTAGCCAGTTTTCCCAGCACCATTTATTAAATAGGGAATCCTTTCCCCATTTCTTGTTTTTGTCAGGTTTGTCAAAGATCAGATAGTTGTAGATATGTGGCATTATTTCTGAGGGCTCTGTTCTGTTCCATTGGTCTATATCTCTGTTTTGGTACCAGTACCATGCTGTTTTGGTTACTGTAGCCTTGTAGTATAGTTTGAAGTCAGGTAGCATGATGCCGCCAGCTTTGTTCTTTTGGCTTAGTATTGACTTGGAAATGCGGGCTCTTTTTTGATTCCCTATGAACTTTAAAGTAGTTTTTTCCAATTCTGTGAAGAAATTCATTGGTAGCTTGATGGGGATGGCATTGAATCTATAAATTACCTTGGGCAGTATGGCCATTTTCACGATATTGATTCTTCCTACCCATGAGCATGGAATGTTCTTCCATTTGTTTGTATCCTCTTTTATTTCATTGAGCAGTGGTTTGTAGTTCTCCTTGAAGAGGTCCTTCACATCCCTTGTAAGTTGGATTCCTAGGTATTTTATTCTCTTTGAAGCAATTGTGAATGGGAGTTCACTCATGATTTGGCTGTTTGTCTGTTATTGGTGTATAAGAATGCTTGTGATTTTTGCACATTGATTTTGTATCCTGAGACTTTGCTGAAGTTGCTTATCAGCTTAAGGAGATTTTGGGCTGAGAGGATGGGGTTTTCTAGGTATACAATCATGTCGTCTGCAAACAGGGACAATTTGACTTCCTCTTTTCCTAATTGAATACCCTTTATTTCCTTCTCCTGCCTGATTGCCCTGGCCAGAACTTCCAACACTATGTTGAATAGAAGTGGTGAGAGAGGGCATCCCTGTCTTGTGCCAGTTTTCAAAGGGAATGCTTCCAGTTTTTGCCCATTCAGTATGATATTGGCTGTGGGTTTGTCATAGATAGCTCTTATTATTTTGAGATACATCCCATCAATACCTAATTTATTGAGAGTTTTTAGCATGAAGTGTTGTTGAATTTTGTCGAAGGCCTTTTCTGCATCTGTTGAGATAATCATGTGGTTTTTGTCTTTGGTTCTGTTTATATGCTGGATTACGTTTATTGATTTGCATATGTTGAACCAGCCTTGCATCCCAGGGATGAAGCCCACTTGATCATGGTGGATAAGCTTTTTGATGTGCTGCTGGATTTGGTTTGCCAGTATTTTATTGAGGATTTTTGCATCGATGTTCATCAGGGATATTGGTCTAAAATTCTTTTTTTTGGTTGTGTCTCTGCCAGGCTTTGGTATCAGGATGATGCTGGCCTCATAAAATGAGTTAGGGAGGATTCCCTCTTTTTCTGGTGATTGGAATAGTTTCAGAAGGAATGGTACCAGCTCCTCCTTGTACCTCTGGTAGAATTTGGCTGTGAATCCATCTGGTCCTGGACTTTTTTTGGTTGGTAAGCTATTAATTATTGCCTCAATTTCAGAGCCTGTTATTGGTCTATTCAGAGATTCAGCTTCTTCCTGGTTTAGTCTTGGGAGGGTGTATGTGTCGAGGAATGTATCCATTTCTTCTAGATTTTCTAGTTTATTTGCGTAGAGATATTTATAGTATTCTCTGATGGTAGTTTGTATTTCTGTGGGATCGGTGGTGATATCCCCTTTATCATTTTTTATTGCGTCTATTTGATTCTTCTCTCTTTTCTTCTTTATTAGTCTTGCTAGCAGTCTATCAACTTTGTTGATCTTTTGAAAAAACCAGCTCTTGGATTCATTGATTTTTTGAAGGTTTTTTTGTGTCTCTATTTCCTTCAGTTCTGCTCTGATTTTAGTTATTTCTTGCCTTCTGCTAGCTTTTGAATGTGTTTGCTCTTGCTTCTCTAGTTCTTTTAATTGTGATGTTAGGGTGTCAATTTTAGATCTTTCCTGCTTTCCCTTGTGGACATTTAGTGCTATAAATTTCTCTTTACACACTGCTTTGAATGTGTCCCAGAGATTCTGGTATATTGTGTCTTTGTTCTCGTTGGTTTCAAAGAACATCTTTATTTCTGCCTTCATTTCGTTATGTAACCAGTAGTCATTCAGGAGCAGGTTGTTCAGTTTCCATGTAGTTGAGCGGATTTGAGTGAGTCTCTTAATCCTGAGTTCTAGTTTGATTGCACTGTGGTCTGAGAGACAGTTTGTTATAATTTCTGTTCTTTTACATTTGCTGAGGAGTGCTTTACTTCCAACTATGTGGTCAATTTTGGAATAGGTGTGGTGTGGTGCTGAAAAGAATGTATATTCTGTTGATTTGGGGTGGAGAGTTCTGTAGATGTCTATTAGGTCTGCTTGGTGCAGATCTGAGTTCAATTCCTGAATATTCTTGTTAACTTTCTGTCTCATTGATCTGTCTAATGTTGACAGTGGGGTGTTAAAGTCTCCCATTATTATTGTGTGGGAGTCTAAGTCTCTTTATAGGTCTCTAAGGACTTGCTTTATGAATCTGGGTGCTCCTGTGTTGGGTGCCTATATATTTAGGATAGTTAGCTCTTCTTCTTAAATTGATCCCTTTACCATTATGTAATGGCCTTCTTTGTCTCTTTTGATTTTGTTGGTTTAAAGTCTGTTTTATCAGAGACTAGGATTGCAACCCCTGCCTTTTTTTGTTTTCCATTTGCTTGGTAGATCTTCCTCCATCCCTTTATTTTGAGCCTATGTGTGTCTCTGCACATGAGATGGGTTTCCTGAGTATAGCACACTGATGGGTCTTGACTCTTTATCCTATTTGCCAGTCTGTGCCTTTTAATTGGAGCATTTAGCCCATTTGCATTTAAGGTCAATATTGTTATGTGTGAATTTGATCCTGTCATTATGATGTTAGCTGGTTATTTTGCTGGTTAGTTGATGCAGTTTATTCCTAACATCGATAGTCTTCACAATTTGGCATGTTTTTGCAGTGGCTGTTACCGGTTGTTCCTTTCCATGTTTAGTGCTTCCTTTAGGAGCTCTTTTAGGGCAGGGTGGTGACAAAATCTCTCAGCATTTGCTTGTCTGTAAAGTATTTTATTTCTCCTTCACTTATGAAGCTTAGTTTGGCTGGATATGAAATTCTGGGTTGAAAATTCTTTCCTTTAAGAATGTTGAATATTGGCCCCCACTCTCTTCTGGCTTGTAGAGTTTCTGCCGAGAGATCAGCTGTTAGTCTGATGGGCTTCCCTTTGTGGGTAACCTGACCTTTCTCTCTGGCTGCCCTTAACATTTTTTCCTTCATTTCTACTTTGGTGAATCTGACAATTATGTGTCTTGGAGTTGCTCTTCTTGAAGAGTATCTTTGTGGCGTTCTCTGTATTTCCTGAGTTTGAATGTTGGCTTGCCTTGCTAGATTGGGGAAGTTCTCCTGCATAATATCCTGCAGAGTGTTTTCCAACTTGGTTCCATTCTCCCCGTCACTTTCAGGTACACCAGTCAGACGTAGATTTGGTCTTTTCACATAGTCCCATATTTCTTGGAGGCTTTGTTCGTTTCTTTTTATTCTTTTTTCTCTAAACTTCTCTTCTTGCTTCATTTCATTCATTTGATCTTCCATCACTGATACCCTTTCTTCCAATTGATCGAATCAGCTACTGAGGTTTGTGCATTTGTCACATAGTTCTCGTGCCGTGGTTTTCAGCTCCATCAGATCCTTTAAGGACTTCTCTGCATTGGTTTTTCTAGTTAGCCATTCGTCTAATTTTTTTCAAGGTTTTTAACTTATTTGCCATGGGTTCAAACTTCTTCCTTTAGCTCAGAGTAGTTTGATTGTCTGAAGCCTTCTTCTCTCAACTCGTCAAAGGCATTCTCCATCCAGCTTTGTTCCGTTGCTGGCGAGGAGCTCTATTACTTTGGAGGATGGAGGCCCTCTGATTTTTACAGTTTCCAGTTTTTCTGCTGTGTTTTTTCTCCATCTTTGTGGTTTTATCTACCTTTGGTCTTTGAGGATGGTGATGTACAGATGGGTTTTTGGTGTGGATGTCCTTTCTGTTTGTTAGTTTTCCTTCTAACAGTCAGGACCCTCAGCTGCAGGTCTGTTGGAGTTTACTGGAGGTCCACTCCAGACCCCGTTTGCCTGGGTATCAGCAGCAGAGGCTGCAGAACAGTGGATATTGGTGAACAGCAAATGTTGCTGCCTGATCATTCCTCTGGACGTTTTGTCTCAGAGGAGTACCTGGCCGTGTGAGGTGTCTGTCTGCCCCTACTGGGGGGTGCCTCCCAGTTAGGCTACTTGGGGGTTAGGGACCCACTTGTGGAGGCAGTCTGTCCGTTCTCAGATGTCAAGCTGCGTGCTGGGAGAACCACTGCTCTCTTCAAAGTTGTCAGTCAGGGACATTTAAGTCTGCAGAGGTTTCTGCTGCCTTTTGTTTGGCTATGCCCTGCCCCCAGAGGCAGAGTCTAGAGAGGCAGGCAGGCAGGCCTCCTTGAGCTGCAGTGGGCCACCTAGTTTGAGCTTCCCGGCCACTTTGTTTACCTACTTAAGCCTCGGCAATGGTGAGCGCCCCTCCCCCAGCCTCACTGCCACCTTTCAGTTTGATCTCAGACTGCTGTGCTAGCAATGAGCGAGGCTCCATGGGCGTAGGACCCCCCCGAGCCAGGAGCTGGATATAATCTCCTGGTGTACTGTTTGCTAAGACCATTGGAAAAGCGCAGTATTAGGATGGGAGTGACCCGATTTTCCAGGTGCCATCTGTCACCCCTTTCTTTGACTAGGAAAGGGAATTCCCTGACCCCTTGCACTTTCCAGGTGAGGTGATGCCTCACCCTGCTTCAGCTCATGCTCGGTGTACTGCACCCACTGTCCTGCACCCACTAGCTGACACTCCCCAGTGAGAAGAACCTGGTACCTCAGTTGGAAATGTAGAAATCACCTGTCTTCTGTGTCGCTCATGCTGGGAGCTGTAGACTGGAGCTGTTTCTATTCAGCCATCTTGGCTCCACCCACCCATCCATCCATCTTAAAAGAGAAAGAGGGCTGGGCGTGGTGGTTCACACCTGTAATCCCAGTACTTTGGGAGGCCTAGGCAGGCAGATCATGAGGTCAGGAGATCGAGACCTTCCTGCACAACATGGTGAAACCCCGTTTAAAATACAAAAATTAGTCGGGCATGGTGGCGGGCACCTGTAGTCCCAGCTACTCAGGCGGCTGAAGCAGGAGAATCGCTTGAACCCGGGAGGCAGAGGTTGCAGTGAGCCGAGATCGCGCTACTGCACTCCAGCCTGGGTGACAGAGTGAGACTTCGTCTAAAAAAAAATAGAAAGAGATACTACTATTTGTGACAATATAGGTAAAACTGGAGGAGGTTATATGAAATGAAAGAAGCCAGACGTAAGAAAAATACTGCATGAATGATCTCATTTCTATGTGGAATCTTAAAAAAAACAAACCAAAACAACAACAACAAAAAAACACCAAATGCATAGAAACAGAGAATAGAATGGTGATTACCAGGAGCAAGTGGTGGAGCAGAGGAAACAGGGAGGAGTAGGTCACTTGCAGTTATACAGGATGAATAGATGTAGACATCTAATGTGCAGCAGCATGAGGACTGTAGTTAACAATACTGTATTGTATACTGAAAATGTGCTAAGAGAATGGATTTGGGCTTGTCTTATCCACAACAAGAGAAAACATGAAGTGATGGATATGTCAATTAGCTTGGCTATAGTTATCATTTTACTCCATATATATGTGTGTGTGTATATATATATTATATATATACACACACACATATATATAAACATCATGATGTGTACCTTAAATATATATGATAAAAATTAAAGTAAAAAAATTAAAACTTAAATTAATGATACTATCCTCAAAAAAGAATCTTGTAATAAATCAGCACTGGTAAGTAAAATTGTTTCCCTGGGTTCTTTGAGCCATTCTAGCAAATCAAACCTGAGAAGGGGGTCATAGGAACCTCTAATTTGTAGCCAAGTCAGCAGACGTGGATAACCTGGCAACCTACTCCTTGTGGTTTGCTTCTGAAGTGGAAGACAGTTGCATGGGGTCAAGTCCTTAACCTGTGGGGTCTCCACTAACCTCAGTTAGTGTCAGAATTGAATTGAATTGCAGGACACCCAGTTAGATACAATAGTCCTACCTTATTCATGGTTTTACTTTTTGTGGTTTTAGTTACCCGGAGTCAACAGCAACCTAAAAATATTAAATAGAAAATTTCAGAAATAATTAATAGGTTTTAAATTATGAGAAACATGACAAAATCTCGCTGTCACATTCCATCCCATCCTGGATGTGAATCGTCCCTTTGTCTAGCATCTCCATACTGTTGATGCTCCTCTGCATGTGAGTCACTTAGTAGCCTTCTCCATTATCAAACTGACTGACATAGTATTGCTGTGCTTGTTTCAAGTAACCTTTATTTTACTTCATGATAGCCCCAAAGTGCAAGGGTAGTGATGCTGGCAATTTGGATATGCCAGAGAGAAGCCATAAGGTGCATTCCTTGTGTAAAAATGTAAAAGTTCTCAACATAGGGGGAAAAAATGTATGCTGAGGTTGCTATGATCTACACGAGAATGAAGTCTTCTATGTGTGAAATTTTGAAGAAGAAAGAGAAATTTGTGCTTAATATATATGGGGCTTGGTACCATCCATGGTTTTAGGCATACACCAAGGGTCGTGAAACGTATCCCCCGCTGATAAACGGGACTGCTGCAATTGCTAGGTGGGGAAACACACTCCACCTGGTCATGTTATTGGAATACATTCTGATTTTTAAAAATTCTGCCATGAATTTGATAACCATTTTAAATGGACTTGTAGTTTATTAACCACAATTGCATGTAAATGTATTTGAAAAAATTAGTTTCCCATACATGTACAATACATATAATTTATTCAGTCAACTCACAGTGATTGATGTATATTTGTATTTGCAGCCCATAGCTTACAAACACTGAGCTACAAAGAGACCATTTTCCAAATCATGCAATCTCCACACCACTGACTGGAATAAAAATGAAGGAAACATAAATGGAGGAAACAGTAGCTCCCTATTACCTACTCAAAGCTCTTTCTCACTTATTTCCTTACTTGGGCCTTCAAAGGTGAGGAAAGCGGACCCCTCACTGCCTAACAGATTATAAAATTGAAAATTTACAATGTTTTATGTAACATTTCTTCTGTGAATAAGTAATCCAAGTTTTCTAAAAAGTAACTCATGAATTACTATAAATAAAAGTCACCCATAAATCTATATCACATAAAGAAAACCAAACTGTCCATAATTTGAGATACTTTCTTCCATTGTTGGAGAGTGTGTATGTGTGCATACACACACAAAATCATGCATGAGTTGTAAATTGTATCCTAATGTGTTTACAATTTTACGATCTCCGTTTTCATGCCAATTAACGTTTATTAAAAACACGAGATTTTAAAGATTGTGTAATTACTATCATACAGGTGTACTGTTCTCCTGCCATTGCACATTAGGGCTTAGCCCAATTGTCTGGCTACTGTAAGTAATGCACATTTATGAATAAAGTTTTGTTCAAACTGGATTATTTTCTTGGAATAGATTCCCGTATGTAAATGTATAAATCAACTGGTACGAAATATTTTATTACTCTTTATTCAAATTGCCTTTTAAAAGGTTTATGCCAAAACTATACTGTATTTCCATCATTGATATATGAATATGTAGTATGTTAACACACTCATATATACTTAATATTCATTGCATGCTTTTAAGTTCATAGAAGGCCCTTTCAAGTATTATCTCATTTATTCCTCCATGACAATCAATAAAGTTTAATATCTCCACTTATATAGAAGGAATCTAAGGCAATAGTAAGTTAAATAATTTGCCCAAAGTTTCTGCTACTAAGTGGCGTGGCAAAGACTTAACTTTGAAGCCTGTCGCTTCTCCTAAACCAAATTGCTAAATGAGAAAATCTGTAGTATAAAGAGTTTATAACTTTTCTAACATTAAACAGGTGGTTAGAGATCTGGGATAAGCATCTACATCTATTTCAACCAAGTTGAGCCTCTCTCTTTTTCTTTAATTCACCTTTATCTCTTATGTATGTATTGATTCTTGTTATTCTATGACTAATTTAAAAAACTGGATGTGTGTGTGTGTGTGTGTACGTATATGTGTGTTTAATTTAGAAGGTCAATCCTTAAACATTAAAACCTTAAAACTCAATCTATTTATGTTTGTTCTAAGGCATTACTTGTCCAGAATCATTAGGGTGTATCCTGCTAGTTGCCATTAGCTTGATTATTATTTGTTCAGACTTTTCCAAAAATTGACTCATATAAACCCTTCTCCGTTTCCTCATTACACTTCCCTGCCACCCCGAGTCTTTCCTGAAAGATAAATCACATTATTTTTTGGCAATGGTTTTGTAATGGGGAATTTAGCACAAGACTAAAATTGACTCTGTGCAAAATTAGCTGGCCCTGATTCTTATGATTCAGTTTACCAAATAGCTATGTTAATGGACCTAGACAATGTCAGAAATACCTGTGTCAGCTCTGTTGCAGAAGCCAGGGAAAATGACCATGACAGGGAAAACCTACTCTCATTAAGTTTGCTGCTTTTTTTATTTAATGAAGAAGATTATTTTTCCTTTTGTGAAAAACACTGGGCAAACATATGTAAATGTTTTGATCATCTCTTCCCATTGGGTAAGTATGCCTAAGCAGGAGCAAAAGGCAGAGGAAAAGAAGCTCATTTCCTGAAATGGAATACTGTCTAGATTTGGCTCTATAGCCCAGAGGATGATTGGGATGTGTATTGTTCTTGGATGCCTCTGAAGTGAAGACCAAAGGGAAAGAATTCAGAAACCTTGAACTGGAAGGGTTGGTGTTACTCATCCTCTGATGACTGTCTTCAAAGTCAACAAAATCAAACAGCTGGACTTGAGAGGAGTCATATTTGTGGGGAAAAGACCAGGTCATTCTTGAGTGCCCCCTTGATTTTTACTTTAGCTGCTTTATTTTAACTTTGTTCTTGCAAGGATCACCTATTTTAATGAGTCTTAGTCCTATCAACATTTGCAACTGTCTCATTGAGAATCTCCTTTTGGTGGAAGTGTGAGTGGGTGGGGTGGGCTGAGAATATTGTCTCTGCCTAGTCTCTTAGTAAACATTTGGATTACATTTTATTTTTGGACCCTAAGCTCCCAATTTTCAGAGACTATCTTCTTTTTGGTATGTGATTTTGACTGCAAAAAAAGTAGTTTAGTCCAATATTTCCCACCCTAAATCAAATTTTTGAGAACCATAAGTAGGCCATTAAAAACTTTATACTTTTCCAGTGAGATTAGGAGGGAAATGTTCCAATAAGTTCACACCATTGTTTTAATGTCTCTGAGTGATCCCATGAATAAGCTAAGAATCACACAACCTCTAGGATGAATATGACCTGGAGTAAGAAAGAAAAATTTAAAACTAAGAAAAATTTATTTTAGAAACAATTGAATTCTCATCCCCAGGAGTATAATACATGTGGTAATATTTCTCACAGATATGGAATCATTGTTTCTCATAATTCTTTTCATAGTTATTGATCTTCCTTGCCACTACCTCAACTATGAGACTTATGGGTTTTTCTTTCATGTAACCATTAGTCCTTGTTCTGGTCCATATATTTTAGTGGCTATCATAGCTACAGATAATGAGCTTTAGCACTAAGAAGCCGTTGGAAGGATATAGCAATTACTTGGTCTAGTGAGTGAGCATAGTTGTGTTAGCTATAGCTCAAAGAAGATTATGTGATTAATGTTTATTTGCCAAATAGGATGGGAGAAGGATTGTAGTAAAGGCAAATAAAACATTTTTTTCCTTAATAAATCTATATGGGATTAATAATTAGTTCTATATGTGTAAATGTTACTTACTCTTGGTAACATATTTGTATTGAAGAAGAACAGTGTAGAAGACAATTTTTATAATTCATCTCCACAATAAGGAAGGTCTGTTAAAGCAAAAACTAAATGACTATGTCCATAAAGGAGAACCCCAGGAAATCAGAAATGGCACTAGAGTCCTTATTTTCCTGGGAATTTACAAAGCTGATTCACGTTTTAATCTTTAATATGGTAAGGAGATGTTACTGAGATTGCTAAAGTCCATGTCTGACAAACTACGTTGATATTTTAAATCAGTAAATCTCACTGTGCTTCAAAGAGGCAGCAATCTAAGTAAGATACATATGATTTAGGGAGGTGTGTGTGCAGTTATATATTTGTTTCCTATTGGAGAAGATTAGGCTTTAGTGAATGGGTCTTATTCCATGGTAAACTGTCGGCCCAGGGGATTTCTAATCTTTAAGCCTGGAATAGACACACTCTTGGCTGACATGTTCCTGGAAGAGGGATGATTAATGGAACTAATTTTAAGAACACGTCTATCTTTTAAAACAAACAAAAAAATCTACATGTGGTATTATTGGCAAGTTGCTTGCATGATGAGTCTTAACAGAGTTCTTTCCACATGGATTACCTGAATAAATGAAGCAAGGAAGAGAGAGCACTAGCTTGTACTGAGCAACTACTGGATATAATAATATATTCTAAAATAGCAAAATATTGCACATTATGATACTGGTATAAAAATGGATCAGTTTGTTAGAGTATGAATTCCAGAAAAAGAATTAATTTAATGTTTCAAGGAACCCTTCCAACAAGAAGAAATTAAGGATTTTTCATTAAATGGTGATCTGATAGATAGCAGTTTTGAAAATGAAAAATTATATTAAAGATTTCTGTGTTGATGATCAAGGATTGATACAATTACCTCCACTCTTTAGTAAGGCACTGAAAGATTTTCTAAGCATAAAAATGCAAAAGGACAAAAGAAATGAGAAATTGCATTAGCAACAAATTTTTGGAAGATAGAAATTAAAAGATGAGTGCTAAGACATTTAACTGACCTGAGAATACTGAATCTTAAGTCAGCAATGGAGAAAATTGAGCAGCTACTCAATCTGTACCGCAGATCTCACAAGAGGCTCAGAAATTGTCAGCACCACGTATCTCTGGAGAGGACAGGATGGAGTGTATGAAGAGGTTGTTGAAAACAGGAAGTTGGATTCAATTATTTTTTTAGACTCAGTTAAATCACCAGATTCCTCATCCTCTGTGCAGCTGGAAGAGTTGTTGTCCCTCACCCTGGCAGAAGACTGGAAGTTTATTCTCTAGAGAGGTAAAGTTGAGTGTCTCTGGGTTGGGAGTATCAGACACATTTTGAAGGAAGGCAAATCTTATTGCAGATTGAGGGATTTAGTTAAAGCTTGCCTACTGAATGTTAGGTGCTCCCATACCATTCTTCTCCCACTCTGCTCTCAGAAAGCAAAAGAGCCTGTCTTATGCTTTTCTTAAAATACTTGAAGATTATTCTATGCAGAATGTAAATGGTCAGTAAGAAAAGACTAAAGTCAATGCTTTCTTCAGTGTCACAGCCCAGTCAGATCACTCTTTAAAGTGAAGCCCAAAGTTGACAAGCACACACAGTGCTGAGAAGTGCCAACCAGCCTGTAGAGATCACCAGATATTTTAACAAAACCTCTAACCTAAAAGTTAGAGACTAACATAAATAAACAGAAAATAACAATGTTGGTGGAACAGATTATACAGAGAGCTAAAAAATTAAAAACACAATTATTTCCCAAGTAGCTATGAGACAATATTGTATCAATGAAACAAGAATAATGTGCTTCAAAAAGGGAGAATATGACTCAAGAAAAAACGTCCCGAAAATTAAAAACAAAATACAATAAAATAGTTCTAAAATAGAAGTTTTAGAAACCAACATTAAGATGTTCTCTCAGAAAGTAAAACAAACAGCAATGGTAAATAGGAGAGAAAAAATGGTAGAGGATTATCTCAGGAGTGCCAATATTTGAAATTATAGTTCTAAATAGACAAAATACAAAAAAGGAACATAAAATAATCAATAAGTATCTCCCAGAATTGGAGAGAATGAGTTATAGAATTATAAGAAGTGCCTAGCAAAATAGATTAAAATATGAGCACATCCTGTCATTTCATACTGCCAGTGCCCAAGATAAGATCCTGAACCTTTTGGAGAGGAAACAAAAATCAGATATACTAAAGATTATGAATAGAATGCTTTTGGACTCTGCAGAAACAGACCAATGTCTTCAAAACTTCTAGGAAAAATGTTTCCCAATCTAGAATTGTGTACTCAAACTGTCAAGTAAATGTGAGAGTAGAATAAAGACATTTTAGGACAGTCAATATTACCAAAAATGTGCCTCCTACTTACCTTTTCTCTGAAAGCTACTTTAGGATTTTCTCTGCCAACTTAGAAAGTAAAAGCAAGAAAGAAGATAAATGATCTGGGAAACAGGATCTCACTGTAGCAAGTGGTAAAAAGAATACCCTCGATGATGATATGCACCGATTTGTAGTATTTAGTAAATATCACTTTCCTTTCCCTATCTCCAAACTCCTGTGTCCTCAAACGTTCTTCAGTGGGCAGATCTCTGCAAACCTACCCCTAAAGTTAGAGGAAACTGAAAAGCAGAAGAAAGAGGCTGACAAATCAATTTTTTTAGTAAGAAATATTTAATAGGGCCTTACAAACAGAAGCCATGCTGTCCCCAGTGGCAACGAGATGAGATAGTGGGTCCCCATGCCATTAACCCCAGATCTGAGGCTTATATACCATAGGGAAAGGGTATATGTGGTTCAGAAGGAATGTGTAGGACACCTGAAGTATGATAACATCAAGATTGTTTTGACCTAAGGGAAGAGTTTACAATAAGTATGTGTTCTTACACAAGGCACAACAGATAGACTGGAAATCTTAGAGGCCTTCCTGGAACAGAGGTGAATCAGAAGTCAACGTGGCAGATTAGCATCCAAGATGGAGTTGCTTTAGCTTCCACATCAAACTCCCATGCATTAAAGTGTGGCCTCTGGACTGTCTTGTGGATGGAATGGATTGTGCTACTTTCTTGCTACTGTTTTCAACAAATGATTTTGCCTCTTCTGGCTCCCCTTAAGATAGCTGGATGCAGGTTATGACTAGGCCCCAGTAGATGGTAGATTCACAAGATTAAAAATAAAAACCTGGATCCATAAATCACCACATGGAGAAGAGGCACCCACTAACCAAGGATCACCATCTTGGATTGTTTCGTGAGCAGGAAATAACTTTCTATTCTGGAAGTCTGTTTATCATTGCAGCCTACCCTAACTACTAGGAACAGTAAAGGAAATACTAGGATAAAACTATGTAATAGGCCTAGAGAGTAACCAGTCCAGATTAGAGCAAGTCAGAAAAGTTTTCCAAGAAGATGAAGCAGATAGAAAACTGGATGTATTTGAACACTGGGGAAAAGTTTAGGGGTGAATTAGTCATAATAACACAGGCAACAAGGAAAATAAAAGTAAACAACACATCCACTGAATCTAGGGAGAAGGAAATTTATGCAAGATAGGAAAAGTAATTATACCTTGCTGCATGGCTCAATTGTAAATAGCATTTACATAACCTTAGTAGACTGGTCTAAGCAACATAAAATTGTAACTTTATCGGGGGGTTAGAAGTCTGGAGGCATGCATGTGTATAGTAATGTGGGAGGAAGAAAGAGAGTTAAGTCTGTATGTCCCATCTTGGGAAGTCAATAGATTATGCCTAAAACTGATAAATCAAGAATGGCTATTTGTAAGCATTTCATATATATAGAGAGATTAATACCAAGAAAAAATAGCTACAAGTGTCAACAGTGCATAACACTGAAGAATAAAAATATTGAAAGGATATCAGCAGGGGCCTTATATTTTATAATAAGCCACATAGATTTATTTTGCTGTTTAAATTCTATGTCTGTATAAAATACATTAAAACAAAAAACATACATTTTAAAAAGTTAGATCCACACTCTTTATAAAAATATTCAGATGTATTAGAAATAGAGCTATAACATTAGAATAAAGTTCAATCAGAGTGAAGCAGAAAACAGATAGGAGTGAGGGGATTCTGCTGCTCAAAGCTACAGAAGAAAATGAAGCGAAAAACATCTGTCTAATAAAAAGCTAAAACTAAATAAAAATCTGAAACTTTATCAGTTATGAAACTAAGTTTTATTATAAAGTAGCTCATTCAAATTATGAAAACTATCAAGACCTTGGGAGATGAATTTTAAAAATATTATATGACAAACTAGAATGGGCTAATTGTTAAAAAGATAAAATTTTCTGTTAAGTGAAAAAAGGAAGATTTACCTTTATATGTAGCCAACTTAAAAATCGTAACTCTAAATATTCTTGGAATTATGATAAGCTTGTGTTGTATATGTAGACATTGCCAGTCTCAATGCAAAATTTTATGTCTATTTGAGAAGAATGAGATAATTAACAGCACTAAACATGTGGAATCTTCAAACTCTATGACAAAGTTTCAGAGATCTGAGAATTTATCCTAAGTAAATAATCAAGCAAAGAAAAAAATCATGCATAGTAAGATAAAGGTGAGATAAATTATAATTCCTTACCCTATAGAGTGGCAACCTAATTATAAGAACCATGCCACAACTCGATCAGATTGTTATTATACAATAAATATCAAAATATATAAGACAATTCTGTAGTTGTGATTTTTATATAAAATGCAAATGCATATGGACACAATTGTCAAAATTCATAAATTTGAATGAATGACTTTAGGGTGCTGGCCTGTGAAATGACATTTTGTATCTTAATTTTTTTTTTAATGTTACAAAACAGGTTTGAAGTTTAAGTGTTATCTGCAACACTTGCTGGTCAGTTTAGAAAAAGTACATATATTTTAGAGCCTTATTTTTTCCATTTGAGAATAATTTTTAAAAAATAACGTTTGCTCACCTATCCCTGAGCATTTTCCTGAGAATCCAATGCTATAATGTGTATGAAAGCACTTGGTAAATGCAAAGCACTTTATTAACAGATGAAGTTATTGTTATCATTTTCATCAGTAAACCATTGAGAACAATGCTTTGGCAGGATTTTTTCTTCTCTCAACCACAGACAGAGCTTTATCTCCCTGCCTCCAGATGTGACACATTAGAAGTTACTTGAGCTCAAGGTCATTTTTTAACTTTGGCTCCTTAGAGAAGCAATGGAATAAACCAAAGATCAATGTGAATGTTTTCCAATAAAATCATCCAAAAGGAATACCCAGGGAGGGATGGAAAGCATTCCAAGGACCCCACAGGAAGAACAAGTTTTTGATAGCTCTGGACTGCTCTAATAAGATTGCCTTAGCCATTGTCCAGCTTTCCATTGGGAAAGACTTTCCTTGGTCAACTCCTATTACATTTCAATGTTTCCTTGGTCAACTGCTATTACATTTCAGTGTCTTTGAGGGGCTCAATCAGAGGGCCTCAATCAAATAACTTAAACTTAAAATATTTAGGCCCAATCATTACTACAGACCAGGATCAAATTGGAGTTCTTTTTACATAATTAAAAATATGTATCAATAATTTTTCAACTTGAGAACCTCCCTGAATTCAACAATTAAAGTTTAGAGATAACTGTTTGGGAATTCTAGTTTGATCTGTTTATAGAAATTAAATACAGGAAGGCCAGAGACTACCTCAGTTGCCATTCTCATGGTTTGTTGTGTCAGGAACATAAAAAGTATGTGAAAATATGTACTGAAGTTGCTCAGTCATTATTTCTTAAGAATATTATTGTAACATGAGCTTTGTTAAAGTCTTTTTTATTTGCCATCTCTGTCTCCTTCAGTAAAATGTCCGTTCATGTTTTTTGCTCATTTCATAGTTGGACTTTTTGTTGTTTTGATGCTGAGCTTTGAAATACACAGCACTAACCCTTTATGCAATATGTGGCTTGCAAATATTTTATGCCAATTTTGTGAGAGGCTTAATCAATTTTATTGATTTTTTCCAAGTATCAGGTTTTGCTTTCAGTGATTGTTTTTATGTAGTTTTCCTGTTTTACATTTAATTGATTTCTCTTCTTATTTTTATCATTTCCTTCTTGTTTGCTTTATTTTATTGTGCTCTTCTTTTCTAGTTTCTTAAGATAGATACCTGGTTATTAGTTTGAACTCTACTCATTTTCTAATGTAAGCATTTGGGGCTATACATATCTGTGTCAGCCCTCCTTCAGCTGCATCCCACAAATTTTGTTATGTTTTATTTTCATTTTATTCAATTGCTTGCATTTTAAATTTTATTTTAGACTTTCTCTGTGACCCATGAGTTGTATAGAAGTGTGTTTGTAAACTTCCAAGTGTTTGAGGCTTTTCCTGTCATCTTTCTGTTATTGCTTTTGATTCAATTATGGTTGGAAAAAATGTTTTATAGGATTTTAATTCCTCTAAGTTTGTAAATGTTTGCTTTATGAGTGAGGATACAGTCTATCTTAATGAACATTTCATGAGTACTTGAGAACAATGTGTACTCTGCTGTTGGGTGGAGTATTCAATAAATGTCATTTAGATCCTGTTAATTGATGGTCTTTTTCAGTTATTCTATATCTTTGCTAATTTTCTGTCTAGTGGCTCCATCGGTTGCTGAGAGTAGGGTGTTGAAGTCCCAACTATAACTGTGGATTTATCTTTTTATATGTCCAGCTCTATCAATTTTTGTTTCATGTATGCATTAGTTTCTTATGTTGCACTAATAAATTACCACAAATTTAGTGGCTTAATACAGCACATATCTATTGTCACAGCTCTGCAGGTCAGAAGTCTAAGACAGTTCTCACTGGGCTATAATCAAGGTGTCAGCAAGGCTGTATTCCTGTCTGGGGGCTCTGAGGGAGAATCTGTTTCCTTGTTCATTTTGGTTGCTGTCAGAATTCAGTTCCTTTTGGCTGTAATTTTGAGGTCTTCATTTACTTGCTGTCGAGTGACTGCCAGCCCCAGCTTCTGTAGGCTGTCTGTATTCCTTGGTTCATGGCTTCCTTCTTCATCTTTAAAGCCAGTGATGGCAGGTCAAGTTCTTCTTATGCTCTGAGTTTCTCCTGCCTCTTCTTCCATTGCTGCATACGTCTGAACCACTCTTCTGGCTTCATTAAAATTGTAAGGGCCTATGTGATTATATCACATAGGACCCACATAGGTAATCCAGGATAATTTATCTCCTTATTTTAAGGTCAAATAATTAATATCTTAATTTCATCTGCAACATTAATTCCTCTTTGTCATGTAACATAATATACAAGGGATTATGATGTACATATCTTTGATTCTCGGTACCACATTGTATTTTAAATCTATTGAGAATAATTTTTAAAAAATAATGTTTGCTCACCTATCTCTGAGCATTTTCCTGAGAATCCAATGCTATAATGTGTATGAAAACACTTGGTAAATGCAAAGCACTTTATTAACATATGAAGTTATTGTTATAATTTTACTTTGCTCAACTTTAATTTTAAAGCTCTGTTGTTTTATTCATACATTTAAGAACATTATGTTTTGGCCAGATTGATCATTGAAATGTCCCCTTTATTCACCAAGTAATTTTTTTCACTGTGAAGTCTACTTTATCTGGTATTAATATAGCCAGTCTTGCTGTTTTTAAAAATAATATTAGCATGATATTTTTCTATCTTTTTTATCTTTGACCTACATGTGTCGTTTTGCTTGAAGAAAGTTTCTTATGAAAAATATTACTTATATATATATTTAATCTGCCAATCTTTGTTCTCTGATGTATTGAGACCATTTTATTTAAAGTAATTATTGATATATTAGGGCTTAAGTCTACCATTGTATTATTTGGTTTTTTATTTGTTTCTTCGGTAATTTCTGTTTTTCTCTTTTCTTGCCTTTCTCTGGGTTAAGCATTTTTAGGTTATCCCATCTTGTTTTATTTATATTATGTTAAATATATTACTTTGTAGCTTTCTTGATGGTTACTGTAGGTATCATACATATGAGAGCACTTCAAAAAGTTCATGGAAAAATGACAGTAAAAATAAGTAAAAAATATAAACATTATTACATCCAGTTCAAGACACCTCTGTAAGCAATGATACCAGCCATTTAGTCCATTCCTAAAGAACTGAAGATGAGTCTGGGAACTTAACCTTGTCAATGCAGTTTTTTTTTTTTTTTTACATTATTAACTGAGAAAATATGGGTACCCTTTACAATTTTTAAAAAATATTCGTAGACAAAAAAAGAAGAAACCAAATTAGGACTGTAAGGTGGATGCTTCATGATTTCACACTGAAACTCTTGCAAAATTGCCCTTTTTTGATGAGAGAAATGAGCAGGGCCTTTGAACTGGTTGGGAGGGACTCTCTGGTGAAGCTTTCCTGGGCATTTTTCTGCTAAAGCTTTGGCTAACTTTCTCAAAACACTCTTATAGTAAGCAGATGTTATTGTTCTTTGGCTCTCCAGAAAGTCAACAAGCAAAATGCCTTGAGCATGCAAAAAAACTGTTGCCATGACTTTTGCTCTTGACCAGTCCACTTTTCCTTGGACTAGACCATTTTCACCTTTTAGTACCATTGCTTAGATTGTGTTTTGACTTCAGAATTGTGCCAGTAAAGCCATGTTTCATCTCTTGCTACATTTCTTCAAAGAAATTTCTCAGGATCTTGATCTCATTTATTTAAAAATTCTATTGAAAGTTCTGCCTTTGTTTGCAGCTGGTCCGGGTGCAATGGTTTTAGTACCTATTGAGTAGGAAGTTTGCTCAACTTTAATTTTTCAGTCAGAATTGTGTAAGCTAAACCAGTTGAGATGTCTATGGTGTTTCCTATTGTTTCTGCTGTTAGTCATCAGTCATCTTCAATTAGGGCACAAACAAGATGAATTTTTTCTCTCAAATTGATATGGATGGTGTGTTGCCGTGGGCTTCATCTTCAACATCATCTCTTCTCTTCTTAAAATGAATATCAGTTTATAAACTGCTTATTTTGGGGGGACATTGTTCTCATAATCTTTCAATGATTTCCCAATTCTTCCAAGGTTCACAGTAAATTAGATGTTCGGTCTTGCACCAATTTTAGTAGAATTTATTTTGCCCTGATAGAGGCTCCTTTCAAGCTGACTTATCTTTCTTAATGCCTCCAACTAGATCCAGTTGGGGTGAAATGATTAATAAGATGATGACTTATCTTTCTTAATGCCTCCAACTAGATCCAGTTCAGACATGGTATAGCAAGTTAGTATGAGTTTATTTTTGTGCAAAAATATTTTAATATCCATGCACAGGTTTTTTATAATATATGTTTTACATGAAGTTTTTGAAGATCTTTTATATATCATTCATTACAGACTCCTAATATTGTCATTGTAACTCTTTGAATGAAATATTGAAAAATTACTTCCATTTTATCTCCCTTTATCTTCCCTACTTTTTAAATGTAATTTTATCAGTATTTTCTCTACATTTATTGACCAACACAACTAATATTATAACTTTTGCTTCAACCATCAAATACAATTTTAAAAACTCATGTGGAGAAGAATAGTCATTATATTTTCCCTTATTTTTTATTCTGTTTTTAAAAATATCCTTTCTGAAGTTCCACACCTTCTTTTGATAATTTCTTTTATGCTTTGAGAGCTTCATTTAGCCATTCTTTAAGGGTAGTTTTTCTAGAAACAAATTTCTTTGATTTTATTTGAGAATGTCTTTATTTCCCATTCATTTCTAAAGAGTTCTTTAGCTAGATATAGAAATATTTGACAGTATTTTTTCAACACTTGAGAAATGCTGTGCTGCTTCCTGCTGAACTCCATGGTTTCAAATGAGAAATATGTTTTCATTAGAATCGGTATGCTGTTATAGATAATGCGTTATTGCTCTGCTTGCTCTTAAGTTTGTCTTTAGTTTTAAGCTATTTATGTATGATATTTATAGCCATAATTTCTCTAATTATTTATGGTTGCTCAGTTTTTTGAATATGTAGTTTTATATCTTTCGCCAAATTCAGAAAGCTTTCAGTTATCATTGTTTTCAGTATATGTTTAGGTTCACATTCTTTCTCCTCTTGGTTTGGTACTCCAATTATACAACAGTTAGATCTTTTGTTACAGTCACACAGGTCCCTGATGTTCTATTCATTTTTTCCATCTATTTTCTCTCCATTGTGCAGACTGAGTAAATTCTATTGTTCTGTTTTCAAGTTAGCTGATTCTGTCCTCTGTTATCTGCTCTGTACTATTGAGGACATCCATCAGGTTTTTATTTCAGTTATTGGATTTTTTTAGTTCAATAATTTTAGTTTGCTCCTGTTTTATAACATCTGTTTCTTTGCTAAGGTTTTCTTTTTTGATCCAATGGAATTCAAAATTATTTGTTAAAACAATTTTATTGTGGCTGCTGCTTTATAATCTTGTCAGAAATTTCCCATAACTTGGTATTTGTATCAGTCCATTGTTTTTTTTTTTTCTCATTCAAGTTGTAATTTTCCTGTTTCTTGGTATCAGAAATGACATTTGATTCTATCTTGAACATTTTGGATATTATGCTAAGAGGTTCTTCATCCCATTTTTTATCTTCTATTTTAGCAGATAGTCATTCCTTTTAGGTTTAACATGTAAATTTTGACATTCTTTTGTGGGCTGTGGTTCCAATGATAATTTGGTTTTCTGAGCCTTTGAAATGCTATTATTGTCTGCTTCATTTTTTTGGCTCTGCTCAAGTTTTCTCTGGATCCATGAGAGAGCTCCCTGAGGGGCTGAGGGTGCTCATTTCAGCTACCCAGCAAAGTTAGATAATGGGGAGGAGGTACTAGACCTGTAGGAGAGAATAAATTCTGTTTTGTTTTCTGGCCATCTGATATTGGTGAATTTCTTACATTATTTCTGCTGGTGCCACTGGAGAAAAAAGGACTTACCAGGCTGCCTTCTGGCATTGGGTAGAGGATCAATAGCTACAGTGTCTGGAGGACTCTCTATCAGTTTGGTGGAGGGAAAGATTATATTGGTTCTGTGCCACTTTATGCCATTGCATAGAGAGCCAGGAGCTACTGAGTCTGGGTGGCTCTCTGCAGCTGGTTTTGGAGCACCAGGGAGACATATCTCTTGCTCTGGAGTGGGGCATGAGTTGACATGTTAGTCTGTTCTCACGCTGCTAATAAAGCTAATAAAAGGCTCTGTTGTGTCAGGCCCTCTAGGTTCTGTTGCTGCTGGAAATACTGGCCTGCTGTCACTGACAGGTGTGGGCAAGGGATAGGTTGGCTACCCAAGATCTTGTGGCATGGCTGCTGCAGGTAGATTGGGCATTATTGCCACAAGGTATGGGTACCAGGGAGGCCTATAACCCGCAAATTTAGCCTCAGCTAATAAATTACCTGACACTGGGTAATTTATAAAGGAAAGAGGATTAATTGACTCACAGTTCCACATTGCTTGGGAGGCCTCACAATCATGCAGAAGGCGAAGGAGGAGCAAAGTCATGTCTTACATGGCAGCAGGCAAAGCCAGCTTATGTAGGGGAACTCTCCTTTATACAGCCATCAGATTTCATGAAACTTATTCACTATCATGAGAACAGCATGGAGAAGACCCACCTTCATGATTCATTTACCTTCTACTGGGTCCCTACCATGACACGGAATTATGGGAGCTACAATTCAAGATGAGATTTGGGTGGGGACACAGCCAAACCATATTAGTAGGCCTGCACAAGATGTTCAGTTGACATTGCTGTTACCTGTTATCATGTCCACTAATGCTGGCAGGTATGGGTTGTCTCAGCTCCTCCAGGCTCTGTTGTGTCAGCCCCTCCAGGCTCTGTTGCTGCTGGGAATACTGGCCTGCTGTCACTGACAGGTGTGGGCAAGGGATAGGTTGGCTACCCAAGATCTTGTGGCGTGGCTGCTGCAGGTAGATTAGGCATCATTGCCACAATCCCAAGTCCCCACTGGGCTTTTCTTCCCTGATCTTTTGGTCAGAGAGAGAAGAGTCCTTTTCTTTGCGTTTTTCTTTTTCTCGTTTTTTTTTTGCTTTGATTAATTGTTTTGTTTTGGTTAGCGGTTGTGGGTTACAGGCCTCCCTGGTACCCATTCTGGGATAACAGAATAAACAGGAGGAAAGTTACCATGTTGGTATTTATTAATCCCTGAGACCCTTGAGGAAAGGAAAGAACTTTTATCTGAAGAGCCTTTTAAAGTGTTCAGACCCAGAGAAACATTAAAACTAGATAGGAAACACTTCCTACTTCCCCCTTTGAGCTCTTCAGACTGCTTGTTATTGCCACAAGTAGCTTTACTCTAACAATGCCACACCACACACAGCTTAACAATGTATAGCCAATCACTAATAAATGTTATTTCTGTAAACCAATGAGAATTCCTGACAAAAAAACTTTGTATCAGTCCACTCCTGTCCTCCCCCACTTTTTTTTTTTTTTTTTTTTTGCCTTTAAAAACCTGCTTCTAAAAAAGGCTTATTGGAGCTCATATCTGCGGTTACTTGGGTCTGAGTCTTCCAGGCAGCTGTCTTCATATGGGCTCACGTAAACTCTTTAAATTATAATTTGTTCTTCATCCTCTTCCTTTCATGGTGACTCCCTTATCCCACCAATCATCATCTTACTACCTTTCAGAGTACTTTTATAATTGCCTGCTAAGTTATTTCCAAAGTATGTCATTGCATATAAAGGGGATGAGCAGGAAAAAGATAGTCCATGACATATTATTCCTGAACTCTAAATGCTAATCTGCTTTTTTAAAAAAATAATTTACCTCAACCACTGAAGTTTCTTCTAAAGAAATAATATATTGAAAGTATTTTGCTATAAACAATAAAACATGCTAACTATAAAAATTAGCCAATAAAGAAAATATAGAAAGTAGGAAAACAATCATCTATAATCATTATCCAAAGGCAAATATAATGGACATTTGGCGAATTACTTTCCAGTCTTGTTTTTCTGATGAGTTATGTCTTTCCTTTACTTGGTAACCACGACCATGCCAATTTTATGTTTCAATTACTTTAATACAAATATTTTTCCTGTTATTGTAAATTCTTCAGAATTCTTACTTTTGATGGTGGTTCATTTTGGGATACCATCATTTTCTTATTGTTAGACATGTATGTTGTTTTCTGCATTCCAGTTATTTTTTTCTGTTGTAATATTCATGTAATGCATACCTTAATATATACAATTATTTTTATGGTTTGCTTTATTTAAATACAACAGTGTCCTGGAGGAGGATAACTATAAGCAACTAAAGAAAACAAAAAATATTTCACCCCAAAATATCCTTCTTTGACATATTTCAAGATGGCTATTAGGAGGGAATGGTAACACAATAATAGCTTAAAAGCTGCCCTTTGTGGGGGAGATTTGCGTCTGTAGAGAAAGTCTGCATTGGTAAAATGAACACCCTGGCTTGCTCTGCTTCCCACTCCAGCCTCCCCCTCCACCTTCAGTCTGGATCTAGGACTGATTGGCTCACTTTCAGGGTCTGACAGATACTTTGTCTTTCTGAGCACCGCTACCTGTGAGGTTTTAACTGCATGACAAGACTTAGTTTGACCTGCTGTCCTCTCTTCACTTCCCAGAGCCCAAAGTGGGTTCCAGAACTCTTTTTCTTTCATTCATTTCTCCTGAAAATCATTTTACTTCTATACTCATCCCCCAATAAATTTGTATGTCTTTCTCCCTGTTATCTGTCCACGGTCTTGTCTATTAGGGTTTATTTTATTATTTTTATTTTTATTTTTAGAGAGAGATATGAGGTCTTGCTCTCTCATCCAGGCTGTAGTCCAGGCTGGAGTGCCATTATAGCTCACTGCAGCCTTGAACTCCTGGTCTCAAAGAATCCTTCCGCTTCAGACTCCTGAGTAGCTGGGACCACAGGTGTGCATGTTCACACCTGGCTCAGCTTGTTTTAGAGGCTCCAATCATCTAAACTTCCAGGGAAAAATTTGAACTTCCCTGCAAGACAAAGTTGCAAAGAAGCAATAGGCTTTGGTATCAGAAACATAACAACTCGGTCTCTGCCTTTCCTGCTTTCTAGCTGGCCACCTAATCTTCCTGAGCCTCCCTAATCTCCTCCGCTTGACATGGGAACTAACCAAGGTCATATATGTAGAATTCTTAGCCTGCACCAGGTACTTATACATATTACACAACAGTTCTATTTCCCTCTCGCCTCCCTTACTCCTCCATCTCACTCTCTTCCTGAAGATAATTAGGATGAGTTACCTAGTAAGGCAATTTAAGGGGCATTTCTAAAATATCAGATTTAAAAACAGTCATCAATACTACTCTTTTAAACAATCTGCATCTCACCTCTGTAAAATTATCTTTCTAGTAAAATTAAGCTTCAATAAATTGGAATGGAATTAAAAGATGATAAGGTTTATTGTTTGAGAATGTGAGTGAAATGGGGTGGGGAGGAGATTAAAATTATCTGTGAGATAGAAGGTTAAATTTTTTTAAATGTTAAGAAAAACATGAGTAAACATTTAATGTCAGCACACAGCATGGCAATGAAGTGCCACACAATTTCCAACAGTGTCTTTATCCCACAGAAACCATATTTGTATTTCTCGTGAATGGTGGTTTCCCTGTGAAGAGACCCAGAGGATTTGCTCTGCTCTTTTTTGATGATGATGATGATGATGGTGATGATGATGGATAAGACCTAGGAGGGAGGGGAAGAGGAGACAAGAACAGAAAGGGGAAAATGGGAGGGATATTAATTAATTTGTATCCATTATTGAGTGCCTATTGGTTAGATTATTATTTTTTTCTGATGATGAATCTAGGGTCATTTCTTCCTTCCCCTTCTATTATCTGTTATTCACTTTTGTCCTATTTGTGCGTCTTTACTGCATGTACTAGCAATATGAGAGATGGCCCATTTCTATGCATTTGACCACATTGCCTACTCTTCTTTTTAAATTACTAACATTTATAAGGGTAATAAGCTATATCATTAATTTGTTTTTCATTGCTGGTGAGGTCTGCGTATGTCTTTTATAAATTATGTTTAAGATTGGAATAAATCAGAATGAGGATCAAATTATTATGAATAGAGAGTGCTTTCCTCATTTTTTATATTTTGTCTACTTCAAGTAGTTTTTATTGGAGTTTTGTATAAGTTTATGGGGTGATGAATTTTTATCTGTGTTTATTTTTTCTGCTAAACAAGAACTCTGAGAAGCTGGGTCACGCGCCTTTGGTTTTGGGACGCGGATAGTTTTGAGAAGTTATGAGGTTCAACATTTCTGAGACTAACTGTATCCATGCACAAAGCCCTGCCTTGGCTTCACCTTTGAACCTAGGTTCCTCGAAGACCCAATTTACTCTTCATTTTAGTTCATTATCCCCAGTGGGAGAGTGAGGTACCGTTCAGCCAAGTAGGCTCAGCCCGAAAGAGTCTACTTTCCCTAAACAAAATCTAATCACGAGTTTCCTGGAAGAGAGAGCTAGTTTGACTGTTTGGTCAGGAAAATGCCATGGTAAGATGAACTCATCTAACTGTACTTGGTTCTCATGGCCTAATCTTTTTATATGTGAAACATCACAGAGAAAATTCTGTGTCCTGAACTCTAATGGGCTCCAATTATGCTCTTGGGGAGAGTGAGATTGGTTGGAAGGAATGCTTTTAGGAGTTTTGGCATAATGGGTAGACATTGAACATAGTGCACTATTTCTGTCATTTATATAAAAACTATTCTACATCTGAATATGCTCTTCATTAAATGTATCAGCTTAGGAACTCTACCAAGATCATAGCCAAATAATATGTCACTCCGTATATAACCATGACAATCTTGAGATTAAGCAACCCTGGATGCTACTTTTGATGATGTTTTTCTAGCATCTTTAAACTTACAAATGTAAACATTTGGCAGATATTTTTATATTTCACTTTGTATTGTAAAAGGGTCTTAACCCTGAAAAAGTAGCCAGATTTTCACTTGATAGTTCTCGAATCTCAGTTTTCCTATGCCTCAAACAAGGGCCTTTAAGCAGCAATGTGCCACATTTTTTATTAGTCACTACAGTTAAAAAAAAATTAGAAAGACATTCATTTGTTTACTCATTCATTTGGATGTCATTTGTTGAGCATCCATTATGTGCTCAGCATCATGCTAGGTTCTGTGAGGTGATGTGGAAATGAATATAGTAAATTTATTCATTCATTCAGTCAATGAACATTATTTAAAATCTGTGATTTGATGAGTTAATAAAATGTGTTTCCCATCTTCAGTAAATTCACAGTGTAGCTACAGAAACTCCAGTTAATAAAATTGTTGAGATCCTTTGGTTTAACATGAAATAAATGGAAACTGTCTTAGATGCTAGGAAACTACTTTGCAAATAATGAAACTTTGCACTTGAGATTATTTGTTTAGCATCAAACGAAACAGCCTTTTCTGTCTCCTGACCATACAAGGTACTGCGGACACATATTAATTCAGTTTATTTGACTAGAAATTTACCATATGACTCCACAGTTCTAGGTCCTATGCCAAACATTGGGAATAACAAGATCAAAGAAGCACAGTTCCTGCCCTTGAAGAACTTAGTAGCAATGGTGATGAGGATGCTCAGGAATTGTGCAATGGTACAAGTGATGCATGAGCACTGAAGAGGGAGCAGAGAATGTCCCTAACAGTAATAGCGCATGAACTGAATTTCAAAACAGTAAAGAGAATGGGGCATCAGTGTTCTGGCCACAAATGAAAGAGATCAGAGGTCTGAGAGAGTTTGCTCTGTTGGAGGAACTACATGTCGTGTGTTATTACTGGAGCATGAATTCCATGGAAGAGCATTTGGAAAGGTCTTGGATATCAGGAGAAAGCATTTGGATATCTTTCTGGAAGAGATGGTGAGTCAGAGATCTACTTTCCATCTAATCTGCCAGTATTTCCCAACTTCTTTTTTCTAATACCCTGTGAATTTTTTGCATTTTACTTAAAAGTAATATTGTTTGAGCTCCCCAGCAGCAGAGAGTAATGAACAACGATCAGAACAGTTAGGTTAGAAGAACATAAAACTAGTTCCCAAGTGTCAGGACACATTCTTTACTGGTGCTGTGTCCCATGTGGGGTATGAGAAGCACCTTCTCTTATATTTATCTCCTTTGGTCCTCTCAATAGATTTATAGAGTGAAGTGGAATTTCATTCATTTGCTAGAAAAGAAAACAGAGACCCTGGGAGATAAACTGGTATTTGCCAAGCCATGCAGAGAGCCAGCAGTGGTTTATTTCCAGAGCCCAGGCCTCATGGTCCCAGTGAAATGTTTCTGTCATGGGTCACGTATGGACTTTCTGTTCTGCTGTGATCCCAGTGATGCCCAGCTTACCCTCAGGGCATGCAATTTAGAGTGTGAAAAAGATGGATCCTGTACCTATTGGCTGTAATGCTGTCCATTTCATACTTCCAGCCAGCATCCAATCATTTATTAATCACTTACTGTGCGCATTTGTATACCCAAAGGTGTGTAGAAGACCAGACCTGGGCATTGAATTCCAGCTTTTATACTACATGCCTCTTAATTTTGAACAAGTTTTTCAAACTCTTGGTTTTATTTGTTTATCTGTAAAAGTTGACACAATCATGACACCTAAAACATGAGGTAATATATTCTTAGAAGAGGGGCATGACGTATGTTAATCTTTCAGAACCATTATACAATAGCTAAAATAAGTAATAAGATCCAGGCCCTGCTTTCTCCATGCTTTATCTCAGTGAGAACACCAAAATTCAAAAGAGATCTTGAAGAAGTTTCAGTAAGATGAGAGAGCAGGATATCCCAGGCACCCTAGACCCTTTCTTTGCACAATGAAGTCACACATTCTTGGCTATTTACCTTCTTTCTGTGACTTCTGACAATACGGGCCAAAGTGTTCTGTTTAGGAAAAATGCCTACTACAAGGGAAGTAGACTGACGTAATCTTGGGAATCACCCTCGTCCTCTTTCCCCCCTGCCTCCTCCTGCACCACTAAATGCTCTTAAATTTCCTTTATCCTCCTTTCCTCTAGCTGTTTTTCTTGGCCTGCTTAGAAGTTATTTTTTCTAATTGGGTCTCTCATGGAATTGAGAGTTCCTCCATTGTTTATAGCTGCACCCATATACTTGTCGCAGATACACAAGGCGCTATGGATAAGAATGAGTTAGATCCTGACTGTGCATGCACATGCACACACACACACACACACACCACACATATACAGACACAGACAGAACATGCCTGTTTCCATTTAAATTTGCTTTTTGGATGAAATCGTTTACATAAGTAGGACCATAGGTTAAGTGTGTCCATGTTGAATGATTTGGCAAATGAATCTGGCCTGACAAGCATTTTTGATATCAGAGGGCCTGAACAGCATCATTTTCAGGGGTCAGGCCCTACTGGGTCTGGCTCAGAGTTCTCTGCCAGTTTTGAGGGTGTGGCGCGGAGAGTCTGATGTTTGCTTTAATGAATGTGCGAAGTCTCTTAAACAGATTGTCTGCCTAGAAAAACATTTCAGATGCTTCTCAGTCCTGAACTTCGGCTTCAGCCATGACCAAAGAAATATTAGGCTAGTT